>NW_021160024.1:153767-307535 GCF_000001405.40 Homo sapiens
AAACACTCTTTTTGTAGAATCTGCAAGTGGACATTTGGAGAGCTTTGAGGCCTATGGTGGAAAAGGAAATATCTTCACACAAAAAATAGACAGAAGCATTCTCAGAAACGTCTTTGTGATGTTTGCATTCAACTCACAGAGTTGAAGATACCTTTCCATGGAGCAGTTTTCAGACACTCTTTTTGTAGAATCTGCAGGTGGATATTTGGACCGCAATGAGGCCTTCATTGGAAACGGGAATATCTTCACATAAACACTAGACAGAAGCATTCTCAAAAACTTCTTTGTCATGCCTCCATTGAACTCAAAGAGTTGAACCTTTCTTTTGATAGAGCAGCTTTGAAACACTCTTTTTGTAGAATCTGCAAGTTGACATTTGGAGAGCTTTGAGGCCTATGGTGGAAAGGTTATATCTTCATATAAAAATTAGACAGAAGAATTTTCAGAAACTTCTTTGCAATGTTTGCATTCAACTCAGAGTTGAAGATACCTTTTCATACAGCAGTTCTGAAACACTCTTTTTGTAGATTATGCAAGTGGATATTTGGAACGCTTTGAGGCCTTCGTTGGAAACAGGAATATGTTCACACAAAAACAGGCAGAAGCATTCTCAGAAACTTCTTTGTGATGTGTGCATTCACCTCAAAGAGTTGAAACTTTCTTTTGATAGAGAATGTTTGAAACACTCTTTTTGTCGAATCTGCAAGTGGACATTTGGAGAGCATTGAGGCCTGTGGTGGAAAAGTAAATATCTTCACATAAAAACTAGAGAGAAGCATTCTCAGAAACTTCTTTGTGATGTGTGCATTCTACTCACAGAGTTGAACCTTTCTTTTGATAGAGCAGTTTTGAAACACTCTTTTTGTAGAGTCTGGAAGTGTATATTTGGACCGCTTGGAGGCCTTCATTGGAAACCGGAATATCTTCACATAAATACTAGATAGAAGCATTCTCCAAAACTTCTTTGTGATGTGTGCATTGAACTCACAGAGTTGAATCTTTTTTTTTTGATAGAGCAGGTTTGAAACACTCCTTTTGTAGACTCGGCACCGGACATATTTAGACCTATGAGGCCTATGGTGGAAAAGGAAATATCTTTAAATAAAAACCAGACAGAAGAATTCTAAGGAACTACATTTTGATGTTTGCATTCAACTTATAGATTTGAACATACCTTTTCATAGAGCAGTTTTGAAACACTATTTTTGTAGAATCTGCAAGTGAATATTTGGACTGCTTGGAGGCCTTCGTTGGAAACGGGAATATCTTCACATAATCACTAGACAGAAGCTTTCTCAAAAACTTTTTTGTACTGTGTGCATTCAACTCACAGAGTTGTACCTTTCTTTTGATGGAGCAGGTTTGAAACACTTTTTCTAGAATCTGCAAGTGGACATTTGGAGTGCTTTGAGGCCTATGGTGGAAAAGGAAATATCTTCCCATAAAAACTAGACAGAAGCATTCTCAGAAACTTCTTATGATGTGTGCATTCAATTCAGAGAGGTGAACATACCTTATCATAGAACACTTTTGAAACACTCTTTTAGTAGAATCTGCAAGTGGATATTTGCACTGCTTTGAGGTCTTCATTGGAGATGGGATTATCTTCACATAAACCCAAGACAGAAGCATTCTCAGAAACTTCTTTGTGATGTCTGCATTCAACTCACAGAGTTGAACCTTTCTTTTCATAGAGCAGATTTGAAACCCTCTTTTCGTAGAATCTTCAAGTGGACGTATGGCGAGCTTTGAGGCCTATGGTGGAAAAGGAAATATTATATAAAAACCAAACAGAAGAACTCTCAGGAACTACTTTGAGATGTTTGCTTTCAAATCACAGGGTTGAACGTACCTCTTCATAGAGCAATTTTGAAGCACTCTTTTTGCAGAATCTGCAAGTGAATATCTGGAACGCTCTGAAGCCTTCGTTGGAAACGGGAATATCTGCAAATAAACACGAGATAGAAGCATTCTCAGAAACTTCTTTGTGATATGTGCATTCAATTTACAGAGTTGAAGCTTTCTTTAGATAGAGCAGGTTTGAAACACTCTTCGTAGAATCTGAAAGTGGATATTTGAATCGCTTTGAGGCCTTCGTTGGAAAAGTGGATCTCTTCACATAAACACTAGACAGAAGCATTATCAGCAACTTCTTTGTGATGTTTGCATTCAACTCACGGAGTTGAACCTCCCTTGTCATAGAGCTGTTTTGAAACACTCTTTTCGTAGAATCTGCAAGTGGATATTTGGACCGCTTTGAGGCCTTCGTTGGAAACAGGAATATCTTCACATAAAAACTAGACAGAAGCATTCTCAGAAACTACTTTGTGATGTGTGCATTCTACTCACAGAGTTGAACCTTCCTTTTCATAGAGCAGGATTGAAACACTCTTTTTGCAGGATCTGCAAGTGGACATTTGGAGCTCTTTGAGGCCTATGGTGGAAAAGGATATATCTTCACATAAAAACTAGACAGAAGCATTCTTATAAACTTATTTGTGATGTGTGCATTCAACTCACAGAGTTGAACCTTTCTTTTGATAGAGCAGGTTAGAAACACTCTTTTGCAGAATCTACAAGTGGACATTAGGAGCGCTTTGAGGCCTATGGAGGAAAAGGAAATATCTTCACATAAAAACTAGACAGAAGCATTCTCATAAACTTATTTGGATGTTTGCCTTCAATTCTCAGAGTTGAACATACTTTATCCTAGAGCAGTTTTGAAACACTCTTTTAGTAGTATCTCCAAGTGGATATTTGGACCGCTTTGAGGACATCATTGGAAACGGGAGTACCTACACATAATCACGACACACAAGTTTTCTCAGAAACTTCCTTTTACTGTGTGCATTCAACTCACAGATTTGAACATTTCTTTTGATAGAGCAGGTTTGAAACACTCTTTTTGTAGAATCTGCAAGTTGACATTTGGAGGGCTTTGAGGCCTATGGTGGAAAAGGAAATATCTTCACATAAAAACTAGAGAGAAACATTCTCAGAAACTTCTTTGTGATATGTGCATTCAACTCATGGATTTGAACCATTGTTTTGATATAGCAATTTTGAAACACTCTTTTTGTACAATCTGCAAGTGGACATTTGGAGTGCTTTGAGGCCTACGGCAGAAAAGGAAATATCTCCACATAAAAAAAGACAGAAGCATTCACAGAAACTTCTTTGTAATATGTGCATTCAACTCACAGAGTTGAACTTTTCTTTTGATGAAGCAGGTTTGAAACACTCTTTTTGTGGAATCTGCAAGTGGACATTTGGAGAGCTTTGAGGCCTATGGTGGAAAAGGAAATATCTTCACACAAAAACTAGACAGAAGCATTCTCAGAAACTTCTATGGGTTGTGTGCGTTCAACTTGCAGAGTTGAACATATCTTTTCATGGAGCAGTTTAGAAACACTCTTTTTGTAGAATCTGCAAGTGGATATTTGAACTGCTTTGAGGCCTTCGATGGAAACGGGAATATCTTCACATAAACACTAGACAGAAGCATTCTCAGAAACTTCTTTGTGATGTGTGCATTCAACTCACAGAGTTGAACCTTTCTTTTGATAGAGCAGGTTTGAAACACTCTTTTTGTAGAAAAAAATTTTTGTAGAAAAAAATTTTCCACTGGAAGTGGACATTTCTTTTTAGCACTGAATATTTCATTGGATATAGCACAGTTTATATGTTGACTCACCTTCTGAAAAATATGTTGTTTGATTCCAACTCTTGGAAATCATAAGTGAAAATGCTATAAATATTCACCTGCAAGTCTTGGTGTGAACATACGTTTTGAACTCATTTGGGTAAATGACAAAGAGTGCAATGGCTGAATTGCATGGTAAGACTGTGTTTAGTTTTCTAAGAAACTGCCACATTGTCTTCCAAAGTGAAAATATACTGTTTTGCATTCCAACCAGCAGTGAATGAGAATTTTTGTTGCTCTACATCTTTGCCAGCATTTGGTGCTTTCTGTGTTTTGAATTTTGATTATTCTAATGGATATGTTTTGGTATCTCATTGTTGTTTAAATATGCATTTCCTTGATGGCATATGATAAGCATCTTTTCATATGCTTACATGCAATTTGCATTTTTTTTTCTTTTTTTATTTTACTTTTTTTTTAATTATACTTTAAGTTTTAGGGTACATGTGCACATTGTGCAGTTTAGTTACATATGTATACATGTGCCATGCTAGTGCACTGCACCCACTAACTCGTCATCTAGCATTAGGTATATCTCCCAATGCTATCCCTCCCCGCTTCCCTCACCCCACCACAGTCCCCAGAGGGTGATATTCTCCTTCCTGTGTCCATGTGATCTCATTGTTCAATTCCCACCTATGAGTGAGAATATGCGGTGTTTGGTTTTTTGTTCTTGCGATAGTTTACTGAGAATGATGATTTCCAATTTCATCCATGTCCCTACAAAGGACATGAACTCATCATTTTTTATGACTGCATAGTATTCCACGGTGTATATGTGCCACATTTTCTTAATCCAGTCTATCATTGTTGGACATTTGGGTTGGTTCCAAGTCTTTGCTATTGTGAATAATGCCGCAATAAACATACGTGTGCATGTGTCTTTATAGCAGCATGATTTATAGTCCTTTGGGTATATACCCAGTAATGGGATGGCTGGGTCAAATGGTATTTCTAGTTCTAGATCCCTGAGGAATCGCCACACTGACTTCCACAATGGTTGAACTAGTTTACAGTCCCACCAACAGTGTAAAAGTGTTCCTATTTCTCCACATCCTCTCCAGAACCTGTTGTTTCCTGACTTTTTAATGATTGCCATTCTAACTGGTGTGAGATGCTATCTCATTGTGGTTTTGATTTGCATTTCTCTGATGGCCAGTGGTGATGAGCATTTTTTCACGTGTTTTTTGGCTGCAGAAATGTCTTCTTTTGAGAAATGTCTGTTCATGTCCTTCGCCCACTTTTTGATGGGGTTGTTTGTTTTTTTCTTGTAAATTTGTTGGAGTTCATTGTAGATTCTGGATATTAGCCCTTTGTCACATGAGTAGGTTGCGAAAATTTTCTCCCATTTTATAGGTTGCCTGTTCACTCTGGTGGTAGTTTCTTTTGCTGTGCAGAAGCTCTTTAGTTTAATTAGATCCCATTTGTTAATTTTGGCTTTTGTTGCCATTGCTTTTGGTGTTTTGGACATGAAGTCCTTGCCCATGCCTATGTCGTGAATGGTAATGCCTAGGTTTTCTTCTAGGGTTTTTATGGTTTTAGGTCGAACGTTTAAGTCTTTAATCCATCTTGAATTGATTTTTGTATAAGGTGTAAGGAAGGGATCCAGTTTCAGCTTTCTACATATGGGTAGCCTGCTTTCCCAGCACCATTTATTAAATAGGGAATCCTTTCCCCATTGTTTGTTTTTCTCAGGTTTGTCAAAGATCAGATAGTTGTACATATGTGGCGTTATTTCTGAGGGCTCTGTTCTGTTCCATTGATCTATATCTGTGTTTTGGTACCAGTACCATGCTGTTTTGGTTACTGTAGCCTTGTAGTATAGTTTGAAGTCAGGTCGTGTGATGCCTCCAGCTTTGTTCTTTTGGCTTAGGATTGCCTTGGCAATGCGGGCTCTTTTTTGGTTCCATATGAACTTTAAAGTAGGTTTTTCCAATTCTGTGAAGAAAGGCTTTGGTAGCTTGATGGGGATGGCATTGAATCTGTAAATTACCTTGGGCAGTATGGCCATTTTCACGATATTGATTCTTCCTACCCATGAGCATGGAATGTTCTTCCATTTGTTTGTATCCTCTTTTATTTCCTTGAGCAGTGGTTTGTAGTTCTCCTTGAAGAGGTCCTTCACATCCCTTGTAAGTTGGATTCCTAGGTATTTTATTCTCTTTGAAGCAATTGTGAATGGGAGTTCACTCATGATTTGGCTCTCTGTTTGTCTGTTGTTGGTGTATAAGAATGCTTGTGATTTTTGGACATTGATTTTATATCCTGAGACTTTGCTGAAGTTGCTTAACAGCTTAAGCAGATTTTGGGCTGAGACAACGGGGTTTTCTAGATATACAATCATGTCGTCTTAAAACGGGGACTATTTGACTTCCTCTTTTCCTAATTGAATACACTTTATCTCCTTCTCCTGCCTAATTGCCCTGGCCAGAACTTCCAACACTATGTTGAATAGTAGTGGTGAGAGAGGGCATCCCTGTCTTGTGCCAGTTTTCAAAGGGAATGCTTCCAGTTTTTGCCCATTCGGTATGATATTGGCTGTGGGTTTGTCATAGATAGCTCTTATTATTTTGAAATATGTCCCATCAATACCTAATTTATTGAGAGTTTTTAGCATGAAGGGTTGTTGAATTTTGTCAAAGGCTTTTTCTGCATCTATTGAGATAATCATGTGGTTTTTGTCTTTGGCTCTGTTTATATGCTGGATTACATTTATTGATTTGCATATATTGAACCAGCCTTGCATCCCAGTGATGAAGCCCACTTGATCATGGTGGATAAGCTTCTTGATGTGCTGCTGGATTAGTTTTGCCAGTATTTTACTGAGGATTTTTGCATCAATGTTCATCAAGGATATTGGTCTCAAATTCTCTTTTTTGGTTGTGTCTCTGCCTGGCTTTGGTATCAGAATGATGCTGGCCTCATAAAATGAGTTAGGGAGGATTCCCTCTTTTTCTATTGATTGGAATAGTTTCAGAAGGAATGGTACCAGTTCCTCCTTTTACCTCTGGTAGAATTCGGCTGTGAATCCATCTGGTCCTGGACTCTTTTTGGTTGGTAAACTATTGATTATTGCCACAATTTCAGCTCCTGTTATTGGTCTATTCAGAGATTCAACTTCTTCCTGCTTTAGTCTTGGGAGAGTGTATGTGTCCAGGAATTTATCCATTTCTTCTAGATTTTCTAGTTTATTTGTGTAGAGGTGTTTGTAGTATTCTCTGATGGTAGTTTGTATTTCTGTGGGATTGGTGGTGATATCCCCTTTATCATTTTTTATTGTGTCTATTTGATTCTTCTCTCTTTTTTTCTTTATTAGTCTTGCTAGCAGTCTAACAATTCTGTTGATCCTTTCAAAATACCAGCTCCTGGATTCATTAATTTTTTCAAGGGTTTTTTTTGTCTCTGTTTCCTTCAGTTCTGCTCTGATTTTATTTATTTCTTGTCTTCTGCTAGATTTTGAATGTGTTTGCTCTTGCTTTTCTAGTTCTTTTAATTGTGATGTTAGGGTGTCAGTTTTGGATTTTTCCTTCTTTCTCTTGTGGGAATTTAGAGCTATAAATTTCCCTCTACACACTGCTTTGAATGCATCCCGGAGATTCTGGTATGTTGTGTCTTTGTTCTCGTTGGTTTCAAAGAACATCTTTATTTCTGCCTTCTTTTCGTTATGTATCCAGTAGTCATTCAGGAGCTGGTTGTTCAGTTTCCATGTAGTTGAGCGGTTTTGAGTGAGATTGTTAATCCTGAGTTCTAGTTTGATTGCACTGTGGTCTGAGAGATAGTTTGTTATAATTTCTGTTCTTTTACATTTGCTGAGGAGAGCTTTACTTCCAACTATGTGGTCAATTTTGGAATAGGTGTGGTGTGGTGCTAAAAAAATGTATATTCTGTTGATTTGGGGTGGAGAGTTCTGTAGATGTCTATTAGTTCCGCTTGGTGCAGAGCTGAGTTCAATTCCTGGGTATCCTTGTTGACTTTCTGTCTCGTTGATCTGTCTAATGTTAACAGTGGGTTGTTAAAGTCTCCCATTATTAATGTGTGGGAGTCTAAGTCTCTTTGTAGGTCACTCAGGACTTGCTTTATGAATCTGGGTGCTCCTGTATTGGGTGCATGTATATTTAGGATAGTTAGCTCTTCTTGTTGAATTGATCTCTTTACCATTATGTAATGGCCTTCTTTGTCTCTTTTGATCTTTGTTGGTTTAAAGTCTGTTTTATCAGAGACTAGGATTGCAACCCCTGCCTTTTTTTGTTTTCCGTTTGCTTGGTAGATCTTCCTCCATCCTTTTATTTTGAGCCTATATGTGTATCTGCCAGTGAGACAGGTTTCCTGAATACAGCACACTGATGGGTCTTGACTCTTTATCCAATTTGTCAGTCTGTGTCTTTTAATTGGAGCATTTAATCCATGTACATTTAAAGTTAATATTGTTATGTGTGAATTTGATCCTGTCATTATGATGTTAGCTGGTGATTTTGCTCATTAGTTGATGCAGTTTCTTCCTAATCTCGATGTTCTTTACATTTTGGCATGATTTTGCAGTGGCTGGTACCGGTTGTTCCTTTCCATGTTTAGCACTTCCTTCAGGAGCTCTTTTAAGGCAGGCCTGGTGGTGACAAAATCTCTCAGCATTTGCTTGTCTGTAAAGTATTTTATTTCTCCTTCACTTATGAAGCTTAGTTTGGCTGGATATGAAATTCTGGGTTGAAAATTCTTTTCTTTAAGAATGTTGAATATTGACCCCCACTCTCTTCTGGCTTGAAGGGTTTCTGCCGAGAGATCTGCTGTTAGTCTGATGGGCTTCCCTTTGAGGGTAACCCGACCTTTCTCTCTGGTTGCCCTTACCATTTTTTCCTTCATTTCAACTTTGGTGAATCTGACAATTATGTGTCTTGGAGTTGCTCTTCTCGAGGAGTATCTTTGTGTTGTTCTCTGTATTTCCTGAATCTGAATGTTGGCCTGCCTTGCTAGATTGGGGAAGTTCTCCTGGATAATATCCTGCAGCATGTTTTCCAACTTGGTTGCATTCTCCCCATCACTTTCAGGTACACCAATCAGACTTAGATTTGGTCTTTTCACATAGTCCCATATTTCTTGGAGGCTTTGCTCATTTCTTTTTATTCTTTTTTCTCTAAACTTCCCTTCTCACTTCATTTCATTCATTTCATCTTCCATTGCTGATACCCTTTCTTCCAGTTGATTGCATCGGCTCCTGAAGCTTCTGCATTCTTCACATAGTTCTCGAGCCTTGGTTTTCAGCTCCATCAGCTCCTTTAAGCACTTCTTTGTATTGGTTATTCTAGTTTTACATTCTTCTAAATTTTTTTCAACTTTTTCAACTTCTTTGTCTTTGGTTTGAATGTCCTCCCTTAGCTCAGAGTAATTTGATCGTCTGAAGACTTCTTCTCTCACCTCGTCAAAGTCATTCTCCATCCAGCTTTGTCCCATTGCTGGTGAGGAGCTGCGTTCCTTTGGAGGAGGAGAGGCGCTCTGTGTTTTAGAGTTTCCAGTTTTTCCATTCTGTTTTTTCCCCATCTTTGTGGTTTTATCTACTTTTGGTCTTTGATGATGGTGATGTACAGATGGGTTTTTGGTGTGGATGTCCTTTCTGTTTGTTAGTTTTCCTTCTACCAGACTGGACCCTCAGCTACAGGTCTGTTAGAATACCCTGCCGTGTGAGGTGTCAGTGTGCCCCTGCTGTGGGGTGCCTCCCAGTTAGGCTGCTCGGTGGTCAGGGATCAGGGACCCACTTGAGGAGGCAGTCTGCCCGTTCTCAGATCTCCAGCTGCGTTCTGGGAGAACCACTGCTCTCTTCAAAGCTGTCAGACAGGGACATTTAAGTCTGCAGAGGTTACTGCTGTCTTTTTGTTTGTCTGTGCCCTGCCCCCAGAGGTGGAGCCTACAGAGGCAGGCAGGCCTCCTTGAGCTGTGGTGGGCTCCACCCAGTTCGAGCTTCCTGGCTGCTTCGTTTACCTAAGCTAGCCTGGCCCCTCCCCCAGCCTCACTGCCGCCTTGCAGTTTGATCTCAGACTGCTGTGCTAGCAATCAGCGAGACTCCATAGGCATAGGACCCTCCGAGCCAGGTGCGGGATATAATCTAGTGGTGCGCCGTTTTTTAAGCCAGTCCGAAAAGTGCAATATTTGGGTGGGAGTGACCCGATTTTCCAGGTGCATCCATCACCCCTTTCTTTGACTCAGAAAGGGCACTCCCTGACCCCTTGCACTTCCCAAGTGAGGCAATGCCTCGCCCTGCTTCAGCTCGTGCATGGTGAGCGCACCCACTGACCTGCGCCCACTGTCTGGCACTCCCTAGTGAGGTGAACCCGGTGCCTCAGATGGAAATGCAGAAGTCACCCATTTTCTGCGTCGCTCAGGCTGGGAGCTGTAGACCAGAGCTGTTCCTATTCGGCCATCTTGGGTCCTCCCTCCAAAAAACTCTTTTAGAAGAATCTGCAAGTGGATATTTGGACCGCTTAGAGGCCTTCGCTGGAAACGGGAATATCTTCACATAAAAACTAGACAGCAGGATTCTAAGAAAGTTTTGTGATGTGTACATTCAACTAACAGAGTTGAAACTTTCTTTTGATAGAGCAGGTTTGAAACACTCTTTTTTTAGTATCTGCAAGTGGATATTTGTACTGCTTTGAGGTCTTCATTTGAAACGGGAATATCTTCACATAAACACTGGACAGAAGCATTCTCAGAAACTTCTTTGTGATGTTTGCATTCAACTACTTACAGAGTTGAACATAATTTGTCATAGAGCAGTTTTGAAATGCTCTTTTTGTAGAATCTGCTAGTGGATATTTGGACTGCTTTGAGGCATTCGTTGGAAATGGGAATATCTTCATATAAAACTGGACAGAAACATTCTCAGAAACTTCTTTTTGATGTGTGCATTCAACTCACAGAGTTGAACATTTCTTTTGATAGGGCAGTTTTGAAACACTCTTTTTGTAGAATTTGCAAGTGGACATTTCTGAACTTTGAGGCTTATGGTGGAAAAGGAAATATCTTCACATGAAAACCAGACAGAAACATTCTCAGAAACTTCTACGTGATGTGTGCATTCAACTCACAGAGTTGAACCTTTCTTTTGATAGAGCAGGTTTGAAACACTCTTTTTGTAGAATCTGCAAGTGGACTTTTGGAAAGCTTTGAGGCCTGTGGTGGAAAAGGAAATATCTTCCCATAAAAACTAGAGAGAAGAATTCTCAGAAACACCTTTGTGATGTTTGCCTTCAACTGACAGAGTTGAACATACCTTATCATAGAGCAGTTTTGAAACCATCATTTTGTAGAATCTTCAAGTGGAAATTTGGAGAGCTTTGAGGCCTAAAGTGGGAAAGGAAATATCTTCACATAAAAACTAGACAGAAGCATTCTCAGAAGTTTCTTTGTGATGTTTACATTCAACTGACAGAGTTGAACCTTTTTTTGATAGAGCAGTTTTGAAACACTCTTTTCGTAGAATCTGCAAGTGGATATTTGAAGTGCTTCGAGGACTTCATTGGAAGCTGGAATATCATCACATAAACACTAGACAGAATTATTCTCAGAAACTTCTTTGTGATGTGTGCATTCAACTCACAGAGTTGACCTTTTCTTTTGATAGATCGGTTTTGAAACACTCTTTTTGTAGAATCTGCAACTGGACATTTGGAGAGCTTTGATGCCTATTGTGGAAAAGGAAATATCCTCACATAAAAACTAGACAGAAGCATTCTCAGAAACTTCTTTGTGATGTGTGCCTTCAACTCACAGAGTTGAAACTTTCTTTTGATAGAGCTGTTTTGAAACATTCTTTTTGTATAATCTGCAAGGGGACATTTGGAGAGCTTTCAGGCCTATGGTGTAAAAGGAAATATCTTCACAGAAAAACTAGACAGAAGCATTATCAGAAACTTCTTTGTGATGTGTGCATTCAACTCACAGAGTTGAACCTTTCTTTTGATAGAGCAGGTTTGAAACACTCTTTTTGCAGAATCTGCAAGTGGACATTTGGAACGCTTTGTGGCCTATATTGGAAAAGGAAATATCTTCACATAAGAATTAGACAGAAGCATTCTCAGAAACGTCTTTGTGATGTTTGCATTCAACTCACAGAGTTGAAAATACTTTACCATAGAGCAGTTTTGAGTCACTCTTTTAGTAGAGTCTGCAAGTGGATATTTGGACCGCTTTGAGGCATTCGTTGGAAACGGGAATATCTTCACATAAACACTAGACAGAAGCTTTCTCAGAAACTTCTTTGTGCTGTGTGCATTCAACTCACAGAGTTGAAACTTTCTTTTGACAGAACAGGTTTAAAACAGTCTTTTTGTAGACTCTGCAAGTGGACATTTGAGCACTTTGATGCCTATAGTGGAAAAGAAAATATCTTCCCATGAAAACTAGACAGTAGCACTCTCAGAAACTTCTTTGTGATGTTTGCCTTCAACTCACAGAGTTGAAAAAACCTTATCATAGAGCAGTTTTAAAACACTCTTTTAGTAGAATCTGCACGTGTTTAATTGGACCGATTAGAGGCCTTTGTTGGAAACGTGAATATCTTCACATAATCACTAGATGGAAGATTTCTCAGAAACTTCTTTGTGCTGTGTGCATTCAACTCACTGAGTTGAACCTTTCTTTTAATAGAGCAGGTTTGAAACACTCTTTTTGTAGAATCTGCAAGTGGACATTTGGAGCACTTTGAAGTCTATGGTGGGAAAGGAAATATCTTCACATAAAAACTAGACAGAAGAATTCTGAGAAACTTCTTTGTGATGTGTGCATTCTTCTCACAGAGTTGAAACTTCCTTTTGATTGAGCAGTTTACAGACACTCTTTTTGTAGAATCTGCAAGTGGGTATTAGGAGCGCTTTGAGACCTATGTTATAAAAGGAAATATCTTCGCATAAAATCTAGACAGAACCAATGTGAGAAACCTCTTTGTGATGTGTGCATTCATCTCACAGAGTTAAACCTTTCTTTTAATTGAGCAGTTTTGAAACTCTTTTTTTGTAGAATCTGCAAGTGGACATTTGGAGTGCTTTTAGGCCTATGGTGGAAAAGGAAATATCTTCACATAAAAATAAGAGAGAAGAATTCTGAGAAACTTCTTTGTGATGTGTGCATTCATCTCACAGAGTTGAACTTTCTTTTGATTGAGAATTATGGAAAAACTCTTTTTGTAGATTCTGCAAGTGGACATTTGAAGCGTTTTGCAGCCTATGTTAGAAAAGGAAATATCTTCACATAAAATCTAGACAGAGGCATTCTCAGAAACTTCTTTGTGATGTTTGCATTCACCTCACAGAGTTGAACCTTTCTTTTGATAGAGCAGGTTTGAAACACTCTTTTTTTGGAATCTGTAAGTGGACATTTGGAGCGCTCTGTGGCCTATGGTGGGAAAGGAATATCTTCATATAAAAACTAGGCAGAAGCATTCTCCGAAACTTCTTTGTGATGTTTGCATTCTACTCACAGAGTTGAACATTCATTTTCATGGATCATTTTTGAAACACTCTTTTTGTAGAATATGTTAGTGGATATTTGGACTGCTTTGAAGCCTTCGTTGGAAACGGGAATATCTTCACATAAAAACTAGACAGAAGCATTCTCAGAAACTTGTTTTTAATGTGTGCATTCACCTCACAGAGTTGAAACTTTCTTTTGATAGAGCATTTTTCAAACACTCTTTTTGTAGAATCTGCAAGTGGACACTTGGAACACTTTGAGGCCTATAGTGGAAAAGGAAATATCTTCCCATCAAAACTAGAGAGAAGCATTCTCAGAAACTTCTTTTTGATGTTTGCCTTCAACTCACAGAGTGGAACATACCTCATCATAGAGTCGTTTTGAAACACTCCTTTAGTAGAATCTGCCAGTGGATATTTGGCACGCCTTCAGGCCCTCCTTGGAAACGGGAATATCTTCACATAAAATCTAGACAGCAGCATTCTCAGAAACTTCTTTGTGCTGTGTACATTCAAGTCACAGAGTTGAACCTTTCTTTTGATTGAGAAGTTTTGAAACACTCTTTTTGTAGTATCTGCTAGTGAACATTTGTAGCGCTTTTGGGCATCTAGTGGAAAACGAAATATCTTCACATAAAAACTAGACAGAAGTATTCTTAGAATCTTCTTTGTGTTGTGTGCCTTCATTTCAAAGAGTTGAAACTTTCTTTTGATTGAGAAGTTTTGAAACACTCTTTTATGTAGATTCTGCAAGTGGACATTTGCAGCGCTATGCGGACTGTGGTAGAAAAGGTAATATCTTCACAAAAAATCTAGACAGAAGGAATCTGAGAAACTTCTTTGGCATGTGTGCATTCATCTCACAGAGTTCAAAATTTCTTTTGACTGAGCAGTTTTGAAACTCTGTTTTTGAAGTATTTGCAAGTGGACATTTAGATCGTTTTGAGGCCTATGGTGGAAAAGGAAATATCTTCACATAAAAACTTGACAGAAGAATTCTGAGAATCTCCTTTGTGATGTATGCATTTATCTCACAAAGTTGAATCTTCCTTTTGATTGAGCAGTTTAGAAACATTCTTTTTGTAGAATCTGCAAGTAGACTATTGGAGTGATTTGTTGCCTATGGTAGAAAAGGAAATATCTTCACATAAAATCTAGACAGAAGCAATCTCAGAAACTTCTTTGTGATGTGTGCATTTATCTCACAGAGTGAAACCTTTCTTTTGGCTGAGTCGTTTTGAAGCTCTCTTTTTGTAGAATCTGCAAGTGGACATTTTGAGTGCTTTGAGGCCTACAGTGGGAAAGGAAATATCTTCACATAAAAACTAGACAGAAGAGTTCTGAGAAACTTCTTTGTGATGTGTGCATTCTTCTCACAGAGTTGAAACTTCCTTTTGATTGAGCAGTTTGCAGACACTCTTTTTGTAGAATCTGCAAGTGGACATTAGGAGCGCTTTGTGGTCTATGTTATAAAAGGAAATATCTTCACATAAAATCTAGACAGAACCAATGTGAGAAACCTCTTTGTGATGTGTCCATTTATCTCACAGAGTTAAACCATTCTTTTGATTGAGCAGTTTTGAAACTCTTTTTTTGTAGAATCTGCAAGTGGACATTTGGAGTGCTTTGAGGCCTATGGTGGAAAAGGAAATATCTTCACATAAAAACTAGAGAGAAAAATTCTGAGAAACTTCTTTGTGATGTGTGCATTCATCTCACAGAATTTAACCTTTCTTTTGATTAAGAATTATGGAAGCACTCATTTTGTAGATTCTGTAAGTGGACTTTTGAAGCACTTTGCAGCCTATGTTAGAAAAGGAAATATCTTCATATAAAATCTAGACAGAAGCAAACTGAGAAACTTCTTTGGGATGTGTGCATTCATCTCACAGGATTAACTCTTATTTTTGATTGAGCAGTTTTGAAACTCTCTTTTTGTTGAATTTGGAAGTGGACATTTGGAGCACTTTGAGGCTTATGGTGGAAAAGGAAATATCTTCACATAAAAACTCAACAGAAGCATTCTTAGAAACTTCTTTGTGATGTGTGCACTGATCTCACAGAGTTAAGCCTTTGTTTTGATTGAGCAGTTTTGAATCTCTCTTTTTGTAGAATCTGGAAGTTAACAATTGGAGCGCTTTGAGGCCTGTGGAGGAAAAGGAAATATTTTCACATCAAAACTACACAGAAGAATTTGGAGAAGCTTCTTTGTGATGCACGCATTTATCTCACAGAGTTGAACCTTTCTTTTGATTAAGCAGTTTGGAAACACTCTTTTTGTGGAATCTGCAAGTGGACATTTGGAGCGCTTTGCAGCCTATGTTAGAAAAGAGATATATTCCCATAAAATCTAGATAGAATCAATCTGAGAAACTTCTTTGTGATGTGTGCATTCATCTCACAGAGTTAAAACTTTCTTTTGATTGAGCTGTCTTGAAACTCTCTTATTGTAAAATCTGCAAGTGGACATTTGGAGCACTTTGAGGCCTATGATGGAAAAGGAAATATCTTCACATAAAAACTAGACAGCAGAATTCTGAGAAACTACTTTGTGATGTGTGCGTTCATATCACAGAGTTGAACCTTACTTTTGATTGAGCAGTTTGTAAACACTCTTTTTGTAGAATTTGCAACTGGACATTTGGAGCGCTTTGTGGCCTATGGTAGAAAAGAAAATATCTTCACATAAAATCTAGATAAAAGCAATCTGACAAACTTCTTTGTGCCATGTGCATTCATCTCACAGAGTAAACCTTTCTTTTGACTGAGCACTTTGGAAACTCTCTTTTTGTAGAATCTGCAAGTGGACATTTTGAATGCTTTGAGGCCTATGGTGGAAAAGGAATTATCTTCACATAAAAACTAGACAGAAGAATTCTGACAAACTTCTTTGTGATGTGTGAGTTCAGCTCACAAAGTTGAACATTTCTTTTGATGGAGCAGTTTGGAAACACTCTTTTTGAAGAATCTTTAAGTGGACATTTGGAGCTCTTTGCAGCCTATGGTGGAAAAGGAAATATCTTCACATAAGGTGTAGACAGAAGTAATCTGAAAACCTTCTTTATCATGTGTGCATTCATCTCACAGAGTTAAACCTTTCTTTTGATTGAGCAGTCTTGAAACTCTCTTTTCGTAGAATCTGCAAGTGGACATTTGTAGTGCTTTGAGGCCTATGGTAGAATAGAATATATCTTCACATAAAAACTAGACAGAGGAATTCTCATATACTCCTTCGTGATGTGTGCATTACTCTCACAGAGTTGAAACTTTCTTTTGATTGAGCAGTTTGAAGACACTCTTTTTGTAGAATCTGCAGGTGGACATTAAGAGCGCTTTGTGGCCTATGTTAGAAAAAGAAATATCTTCACAAAAAATCTAGACAGAAGCAATCTGAGAAACTTCTTTGTGATGTGTGCATTCATCTCACAGAGTTAAAACTTTATTTTGATTGAGCAGTTTTGAAGCTCTCTTTTTGTAGAATCTACAAGTGGACATTTAGAGCGCTTTGAGGTCTACGGTGGAAAAGGAAATATCTTCACAGAAAAAATAGAAGCATTTTTAGAAACATGTTTGTGATGTGTGCATTCATCTAACGGATTGAAACCTTTATTTTGATAGAGGAGTTTTAAAGCTCCCTTTTTGTATAATCTCTAAGTGGACATTTGAAGGGTGTTCAGGCCTATGGTGAAAAATGAAATATCATCACATAAAAATTACATAGAAGCATTCTGAAAAACTACTTTGTGATGTGTGCATTCAACCCCCAGAGTTGAACATTCCTTTGAAGGATCAGTTTTGAAATACTCTTTTTGTAGAATCTGCAAGTGGACCTTTAGAGTGCCTTCGGGTCTACGGTACAAAAGGAAATATCTTCACATAAAAAGTAGAAAGAAGAATTCTGAGAAAGTTCTTTATGATGTGTGCATTCATCTAGAAAGTTGAACATTTCTTTGAATGAGCAGTTTGGAAACACTCTTTTGGTAGAATCTGCAAGTGGACATTTGGAGCGCTCAGCGGCCTATGTTAGAACAGGAAATATCTTCACATAAATTGTAGACAGAAGCAATCTGAGAAATTTCTCTGTGATGTGTGCATTCATCTCAAAGAGGTAAACCTTTCTTTTGATAGATCAGAATTGAAACTCTCTTTTTGGAGAATCTGCAAGTGGACATTTGGAGCAATATAATGCATGTGGTGGAAAAGTTAATATCTTCATATAAAAACTAGACAGACTCGAATGTCTTCTAATGGAACAGTCCATTAGATGATTCCATGTGACTCATTTCATTATGATTCCATTCAATTCCATATGTTGATTTGATCAGATTCCATTCAATGATGATTCCATTCGTGTCCATTCAATGATTCTATTCAAATCCATTTGATGATTGCTTCTGATTCCATTCGATGGTGATTCCATTCGATTCCATTTTATGATGATTCCATTCAAAACCATTCTATGATTCCATTTGATACCATTTGATGATGATTCCATTCGATTCCATTTGATGATTCTATTCGATTCCATTCGATGATGATTCCTTTCGATTTCATTCAACGATTCAATTCGATTCCATTCGATGATGATTCCATTCAATTTCATTCAATGATTACATTTGATTACCTTCGATAATGATTCCATTCCATTCCATTCGGTGATTCTATTTGACAAGGATTCCATTCGATTCCTTTTGATGATTCCATTCGATTTCATTCGATGATGTTTCTATTCGATTATTCCATTCGATTCCATTCGATGTTGATTCCATTCGAGACCATTCGAAGATTCCACTCGATGATGATTCCATTCATGTACATTCGATGATGATTCCATTCGATGATGATTCATTTCGATTCCATTCGATGATGACTCCATTAGGTTCCATTTGATGATGATTCCATTTGTTTCCATTTGACGATGATTCCATTTGATTCCATTTGATGATTCCATTCGATTCCATTCGTTGATGATTCCATTCGATACCATTCAATGATGATTCCATTAAATTCCATTCGATGATGATTCCATTCGATGATGATTCCATTCAATTCCATTCGAAGATGATTCCATAAGATTTCATTCGATGATCCTATTTGATTCCATTCGATGATTCTATTGGATTCCATTTGATGATGATTCCATTTGATTCCATTTGATGATGATTCCATTCGAGCCCATTCAATGATTCCATTCAATTCCATTCGCTGATGATTGCATTCGAGTCTATTCGATGATTCGATTCAATTCCATTCAATGATGATTCCATTCGATGTCACTCAATGATTCCATTCGTTTTCATTCAATTATGATTCTATTCGATTCCACTAGATGATTCCATTTTATTCCATTCGATCATGATTCCATTCGAGTCCGTTCAATGATTCCATTCAATTCCATTCGATGATGATTCCATTCAGGGCCATTCGAAGATTCCATTCAATTCCATTCGATGATACCATTCGAGTCCATTCGATGATTTCATTTGAGTCCATTCGAGGGTGATTCCTTTTGATTCCATTCCATGATTATTTCATTCGATTCCATTCGATGATGTTTCCATTCGGAGCCATTCAAAGATTCCATTCAATTCCATTCGATGATTCCATTTGAGTCCATTCGATGATTTCATTTGAGTCCATTCGAGGATGATTCCTTTTGATTCCATTCCATGATTATTCCATTCGAGTCCATTCGATGAAGATTCCATTCGATTTTATTCAATGATTCCATTCGATTCCATTCGATGATGCTTCTATTCAAGTCCATTCAATGATTCCATTCGATTCCATTCAAAGATGATTCCATTCCAGTCCTTTAGATGATTCCATTAGATGATGATTCCATTTGATTCCTTTCAATGAATAAATTCGATTTCATTCAATGATGTCTCTATTCGAGTCCATTCGATGATTCCATTTGATTCCATACGATGATGATTCCATTCGAGCCCACTGGAAGTTTCCATTCGATTTCATTCTCAGATGATTACATTCGAGTCCATTCGATGATTCCACTTGATTCCATATGATGTAGATTCCTTTTGATTCCATTCGATGATTCAATTCTATTCCATTCAATGAGGATCCCATTCGAGTACATTAGATGATTCCATTCAATTCCATTCCATGATGATTCTATTCTTGCCCATTAGATGATTTCACGCGATTCCATTCGATAATGATTCCATTCGAGTGCATTCGTTCATTCCATATGATTCTATTAGATGATGATTCCATTTCATTCAATTCATTGGTGATTCCATTCAATTACATTCATTGATTCCATTCCGTGCCATTCGACAATGATTCCATTCAATTCCATTCGATGATTCCACTTGATTCCACTTGACAATGATTCCCTTCGATTCCATTCGATAATTCCCTTTCATTCCATTCAATGATGATTGCATTCGATTCCATTTGATGATTCCATTTGGTTCCATTCAGTGATGATTCTGTTCAATTCCATTTGATGATTCCATTTGATTACATTCGAGGATTCCATTCAATACCATTCGATGATCATTCCATTCGATTCCATTCAATGATTTCATTCGATTCCAATCGATGATGATTCCATTCCAGGCCATTCGATGATTCCATTCAATTCCATTCGATGATGCTTCCATGCGATGCCATTAGATGTTTCCATTCGATTCCATTCGATGATGATTCCATTCAAGTCCATTCGATGATTCTATTCAATTCCACTCTATGATAATTCCATTCGATTCAATTCAATGATTCCTTTCGATTCCATTTGATGATGATTACTTTTGAGTCCATTCGATGATTGCATTCCAGCCCATTCAATGATTCCATTAGATTCCATGCAATGATGATTCCAATGACTCCATTCGATGATTCCATTTGATTCCATTTGATGATGACTGCATTCGGTTCCATTCGATGATGATTCCAATGGACTCCTTTCGATTACTCCATTCGATTCCATTCAGTGATGATTTCATTCGATTCCATTCAATGATGATTCCATTCGATTCCATTCGATGATTCCACTTGATTCCATTCAAT
The DNA here is from genome assembly GCF_000001405.40 of Homo sapiens. Taxonomy (NCBI): domain Eukaryota; kingdom Metazoa; phylum Chordata; class Mammalia; order Primates; family Hominidae; genus Homo; species Homo sapiens. Next base: position 173,964 of record NW_021160024.1, read on the forward strand.
GATGATTCCATTCGTGTCCATTTGATGATTCCATTCGATTCCATTCGATGATGATTCCAATGGACTCCTTTTGATTACTCCATTCGATTCCATTCAGTGATGATTTCATTCGATTCCATTCAATGATGATTCCATTCGATTCCATTTGATGATTCCACTTGATTCCATTCGATGATGATTCCATTCGTGTCCATTTGATGATTCCATTCGATTCCATTCAATGATGATTCCATTCGAGTCCATTCGATGATTCCATTCGACTCCATTTGACGATTCCATTCGATGCTATTCGATAATTCCATTCAATTCTATTCAATGATGATTACACTCGACTCCATTTGATGAATCCATTCGAGTCCATTCAATGATGATTGCATTCGTTTCCATTCGATGATTCCATTCAATTCCATTTGATGATGATTCCATTCGAATCCTTTCGATGATTCCACTCGATTCCTTTCGATGACTCCATTCAATCCCATTCGATGATTCCCTTTGATTCCATTTCATGATCCTTCCATTTGATTCAATTCGGTGATTCCATTCGATTCTATTCAATGATTGTTCCAATAGAATCCTATGGATGATGATTCCATTTGATTCCATTTGATTATGACTATATTCAATTCCATTTGATGATGATTCCATTCGAGTCCATTTGATGATTCCATTCAATTCCATTCAATGATGATTCCGCTCAAGTCCATTCGATGATTCCATTCCAGTCCATTCAATGACTTCATTAGATTCCATTCAAAGATGATTCCATTCGATGTCATTCGATGATTCCATTCGAATACATTCAGCGATGATTCCATTCCTGTACATTCAATGATTCCATTCGATTCCATTTGATGGTCATTCCATTCGAGTCCATTCGGTGATTCCATTCAATTCCATTCGATGATGATTCCATTCTAATCCATTTGATGATTCCATTCGATGATGACTGCATTCAGTTCCATTTGATGATTGCATTCGAGTCCATTGGATGATTCCATTTGATTCCATGTGATGATGATTCCATCGAGTCCATTTGATGATTCCATTTGATTTCATTTGAAGATGACTGCATTTGATTCCTTTCGATGATGATTCCAACAGACTCCATTCGATGACTCCAATTGATTCCTTTCATTGATGATTCCATTCGATTCCATTTGATGATGTTTCCATTCCATTCTATTCATTGATGATTCCATTCGATTCCATTCGATGATGTTTCCATTCAATTCCATTCGATGATGATTCCATTCGACTCCATTCCATCATTATTCCATTCGATTCCATTCAATGATGATTCCATTTGATGATTCCTTTTGATTCCATTCGGGTCCATTCGATGATTCCAGTCGATTCCATTTGATGATTATTCCATTCGATGATTCCATTCAATGATTCCATTCAATTCCATTCGATGTTTCCTTTCGATTACACTCGATATTGATTCCATTGGAGTCCATTCGATGATTCCATTCGAGTGCATTCCATGATTTCATTCGATTCCATTTGATGATGATTCCATTCGAGTCCATTCGATCATTCCATTTTATTTCATTTGATGATGATTCCATTCGATTCCATTCGATGATCCCTTTCGAGTCCAATGATTCCTTTTGAGTCCATTAAATGATTCCATTCGATTCCATTCGATAATCACTCCATTCAAATCCATTCAGTGATGATTCCATTTGATTCCATTCAATGATTCCGTTGGATTCTATTCTTTGTTTTATTTTGATTCTTTTTGATGATGATCCTTTCTCTTTCATTCGATGATCCCATCTGATTCTAATCCATGATGATTCCATTCGATCCCATTTGATGAAAATTCCATTCGATTCCATTCGATGATGACTGCCTTCGATTATATTTGATGCCGATTCTATTTGATTCCTTTTGATGATGATTCCATTCGATTCCATTCGATGATTCCATTCTATTCCATTCGATTATGATTCCATTCGAGACCTTTCGATGATTCCATTCATTTCCATTCAATAATGATTCTATTCGAGTCCATTTGATGACTCCAAGTCCATTTGATGATTCCATCTGATTCCATTCGATGATGATTCCATTAGAGTCCATTCGATGATTCAATTCAATTCCATTCAGTGATGATTTCATTCGATTCCATTCAATGATTCCATTCCATTCCATTCGATGATGATTCCAATCAATTCCAATAGATGATTCCCTTTGAATCCATTCGCTGATGAGTCTATTCATTTCAATTCCGTGATGATTCCCTTTGATTCAATTTGATGGTGTTTCCATTCGATTCCAATTGATGATGATTCCATTCGAATCCATTCGATGATTCGACGTGATTCCATTCGATGACTCCATTCGATCCCATTTGATGAATCCCTTCGATTCCATTCGATGATCATTCCATTTGATTCAATTCAGTATTCCATTCGATTCTATTAAATTATGATTCCATTCGACTCCATTCGATGATGATTCCTTTTGATTCCATGCGACTATGATTTAATTCAATTCCTTACAATTATGATTCCTTTCAATTCCATTCGATGATGACTGCATTCAATTCCATCTGATGATGATTCCAACGGATTCCATTCGATTTCTCCATTTGATTCCATTCATTGATGATTCCATTCGTTTCCATTAAATGATGATTCTATTAGATTCCATTCAATGATGATTCCATTCAATTCCATTCAATGACGATTCCATTCAATTCCATTCAATAATGATTCCATTCGATTCCATTCGATGATTCAATTCGATTCCATTCGATGGTGATTCTATTAGGGTCCATTCAATGATTCCATTTGATTCCATTCGAGTACATTCAATGATTCCATTCAAGTCCTTTCGATGATTCCTTTCGTTTCCATTCAATGATGATTCCATTCTAGTGCATTCGATGATTCCATTCGATTCCACTAAAAGATGACTCCATTCGAGTTGATTAGATGATACCATTTGATTCCTTGTGATGATAATTCCATCGAGTCCATTTGATGATACCATTTGATTCCATTCGATGCTGACTGCATTCAGTTCCATTCGATGATGATTCCAAAGGACTCCATTCGATGACTCCATTCGACTCCATTCATTGATGATTCCATTCGATTCCATTCAATTCCATTCGATGATGATTCCATTCGATTCCATACGGTCATGATTCCATTCAATTCCATTCCATGATGATTCCTTTCAATTCCATACGGTCATGATTCCATTCGATTCCATTCCATGATGATTCCTTTCGATTCCATTCAATGATTCCATTCCTGTCCAATCAATGATGATTCCATTCGTGTCCATTCGATGATTCAGTTCTAGTCCCTTCATTGATTCCATCCGATACAATTTGATGATGTTTCCATTCGAGTCCAATCGATTATTCCATTTGATTCCATTTGATGATTCCATTCGAGTCCATTCGATTATTCCATTCGAGTCTATTCGATGATTCCATTCGATTCCATTCAATGATTATTACATTCGATTCCATTAGATGATTCCGTTCGATTCCATTTGATGATTCCCTATGATTTCTTTCGATGATGATTCCATTCTATTCCATTCGATGATACCATTCTATTTGATTCGATGATGATTCCTTTCAATTCCATTCGATGATGATTCCATTCGATTGCATTTGATGATGACTGCATTTGGTTCAATTTGATGATGATTCCAACGGATTCCATTCGATTTCTAGATTTGATTGAATTTGTTGATGATTCCCTTCAATTCCATTAGATGATAATTCCATTCAATTCCATTCAATGATGATTCCTTTTGATTCCATTCAATGATGATTCCATTTGACTCCATTCGATGATGATTCCACTCGATTTCATTCGATGATTCCATTCGATTCCATTCCATGATGATTCCATTCGAGTCCATTCAATGATTCCATTCAAGTCCATTCGATGTTTCCTTTCTATTCCATTTGATGATGATTCCATTCGAGTCCATTCGATGATTCCATTCGATTCCATTCGATGATGATTCCATTTGGGTCCATTCGATCATTGCCTTTGATTTCATTCAATGATGATTCCATTCGATTCCATTTGATGATTGCATTCTATTTCATTTGATGATGAGTCCATTCGAGTCCATTTGATGATTCCATTCGAGTACATTTAATGAATCCATTGGTTTCAATTCGATGATGATTACATTGGATTCCATTCGTTGGAGATTCCATTCGATTCCATTAGATGATGATTCCATTCGATTTCATTCGATGATTCTATTCTATTCCATTCGATGATTATTCCATTTGAGTCCATTCGATGATTCCATTCGATTCCATTCAATGATGATTGCATTCAAGTCCATGGATTATTCCATTCCATTCCATTCGATGATTCCATTCAAGTCCATTCGATGATTCTCTTCAATTCCATTCGATAATTCCGTTTGATTCTGTTTGATGTTGATTCCATTTGAGTCCATTCAATGATAATTACATTCGATTCTATGCGATGATTCCATCCGATTCCATTTGAAGATGATTCCATTCGAGACCATTTGATGATTCCATTCAATTCATTTGATGGCGATTCCATTCAATTCCATTCGATGATTCCATTAGATTCCATTTGATGATGATTTCATTCGATTCCATTCGATGATGATTCCATGCGATTCCATTCGATGATGACTCCTTTCGTTTCCATTCAATGATGATTCCATTCGGTTCCATTTGATGATGATTCCTTTGGATTCCATTTGATGACAATTCCATTCAATTCCAATTGATGATGATTCTTTTCGATTCCATTCAATGATGATTCCATTCGATTCCATTTGATCATGATTCCATTCAATTCCACTCAATGATTCCATTCGATTCCATTCAATGATGATTCCATTCGAGTTCATTGATTATTCCATTCCATTCCATTCAATGATTCCATTCGAGTCCATACGATGATTCTATTCAATTCCATTTGATAATTCCATTCAATTCCATTTGATGATAATTCCATTTGAGTCCATTCGATGATTATTCCATTCGATTCTATTCGGTGATTCCATTCGATTCCATTTGATAATGATTCCATTCGAGACCATTCCATGATTCCATTCAATTCATTCGATGATGATTCCATTCAATTCCATTTGATGATTCCATTCAATTCCATTTGATGATGATTCCATGCAATTCAATTCGATGATGACTCCTTTTGGTTCCATTCGATGATGATTCTATTCGGTTCCATTCAATGATGATTCCATTCAATTCCATTCGATGATGATTCCATTCGAATCCATTCGATGATTCCACTCGATTCCATTCGATGACTCCGTTCAATCTCATTCAATGATTCCCTTCGATTCCATTCGATGATCTTTCCATTTGATTCAATATGGTGACTCCATTCTATTCTATTCAACTCAACAATGATTCCATTCGACTCCATTAGCTGATGATTCCTTTCCATTCCATTCGATTATGATTTCATTTGATTCCATTCGATGATGATTGCATTCGAGTCTATTTGATGATTCCATTCGATTCCATTCGATGATGATTCCACTCAATTCCATTGGGTGATTCCATTCGTGTCCATTCTATGATTTCAGTAGATTCCATTCAATGATGAATCCATTCAATGCCATTCGATGATTCCATTCGATTCCATTCCACGATGATTCCATTCGTGTCCATTCAATGATTCCATTCGTTTCCATTTGATGATGACTTCAATCAAGTCTGTTCGATTATTCCATTTAATTCCATTCGGTGTAGATTCCATGTTAATCCATTTGAGGATTCCAATTGATTCCATTTTATGATGACTGCATTCGGTTCCATTTGATGATGATTCCAACGGATCCCATTCGATTTTTCCATTTGATTCCATTCGTTGATGATTCCATTCGTTTCCATTAGATGATGATTACACTAGTTTCCATTCGATGATGATTCCATTCGATTCCATTCAATAACCATTCCATTTGATTCCATTCGATGATGATTCCATTCGATTCTGTTCAATGACGATTCCATTTGATTCCATTCAATGATGATTCCATTCGATTCCATTCGATGGTTATTCCATTCATGTCCATTCGATGATTCCATTCGATTCCATTCGAATATGATTCCATTCGATTACTTTCAATGATTCAATTAAAGTCTGTTGTATGATTCCTTTCGACTCCATTCTGTGATGATTCCATTCGAGTGCATTCAGTGATTCCATTTGATTCCATTCGATGATGATTCCATTCGAGTCTATTAGATGATTCCATTCGATTCCATTTGATGATGATTCTATTCGAGTCCATTCGATGATTCCATTTGAGTTCATTCTATGATGACTCTATTCAATTCAATTCGATCATTCCGTTCAATTCCATTTGATGTTGATTCTATTTGATTCAATTTGATAATGATTCCATTCGAGTTCATTCGATGATTCCATTCGATGCTATTCAATGATTCCATTCAATTCCATTCGATGATGATTCCATTCTAATCCATTTGATGATTCCATTCGATTCCATTCGATGATGACTGCATTTGGTTCCATCTGATGATGATTCCAACGGATTCCATTCGATTTCTCCATTTGATTCTATTAGTTGATGATTCCATTCTTTTCCATTTGTTGATGATTCCATTTGATTCCAATCGATGATGATTCCATTCAATGATTATTCTATTCAATTCCTTTCGATGGTGATTCCTTTAAATTCCATTCTCCGATGATTCCATTCGATTCCATTCGATGATTCCTTTCAATTCCATTCTATGATGATTCCATTCGAGACCATTTGATGATTCCATTTGACTCCATTTGATGATGTTTCCATTCAATGATTCCATTCGATTCTATTAGTTGATGATTCCATTTGATTTCATTCGATGCTGATCCTTTCAATTCCATTCAATGATTCCATATGATTCCATTCGATGATTCCATTCAATGACATTCGACGATGATTCCATTCGACTCCATTCGATGATTCCATTCAATTCTATTTGATGATAACTCCATTTGATTCCACTAGACGATGACTGCATTCGATTCCATTCGATGATTCCATTTGATTCCATTTGATGATGATTCTGTTCGATTCCATTTGATGATTGCATTTGATTCTATTCGAGGATTCCATTCAATTCCATTCGATGATGATTCCATTCGAGTCCATTCGATGATTTCATTCAAGTCCATTCAATGATTCCATTCGTGTCCATTTGATGATTCCATTCCATTCCATTTGATGATGATTCCATTAGAGTTCATTTGATGACTCCCTTCAAGTCCATTCATTAATTCCATTTGAGTCCTTTCGATGATTCCATTCGATTCCAGTTGGTGATTCCATTCGAGTCCATTTGATCATTACATTCGAGACCATTCGGTGATTCCATTGGATTACCTTTGATGATGATCCCATTCGATTCCATTTGATGATAATCCCATTCGATTCCATTCGATGATGATTCCATTCGATTCCACCCAATGATTCCATTCGATTCAATTCAATGATGATTCCATTCGAGTCCATTCAATGATTCCATTCGAGTCCATTCATCGAATCCATCCAATTTCATTTGATGATGATTCCATTCGAGTCCATTTGATGATTCCATTCAATTCCATTTGATGATTCCATTGAAGTTCATTTGATTATTCCATTCGAGTCCATTTGATGATTCCATTGAAGTCCATTTGATTATTCCATTCGAGTCCATTTGATGATTCCATTCGATTCCTTTCAATGATAATTCCATTCGAGTCCTTTCGATTATGATTCCTTTCAATTCCATTCGATGATTCCGTTGATTCCATTTGATGATTCCCTTCGATTCCTTTCCATGATGATTCCATTCCATTCCATTCGATGTTTCCATTCGATTCTATTCCATGATGATTCCTTTCGATTCCATTCGCTGATGATTCCATTCGATTCCATTAGATGATGATTCCATTCGAGTCCATTCGATGTTTCCTTTCGATTCCACTCGAAGTTGATTCCATTTGAGTCCATTCAGTGATTCCATTCACGTGCATTCCATGATTTCATTTGATTCCATTCGATGATTCCATTCTAGTCCATTCGACGATTCCAGTCGAGTCCATTAAATGATTCCATTCAACTCCATTCGATGATAACTATATTTGAGTCCTTTCAATGATTATTCCATTTGATTCCCTTCAATGAGTCTGTTATATTCCATTCTTTGTTTTACTTTGATTCTTTTTGATGATGATTCCATTCTATTTCATTCGATGATCCCATTCGATTTTATTCAATGATGATTCCATTCGATTCCATTTGATGAAAATTCCATTCGATTCCATTCGTTGATGATTCCATTCGATTCTATTCAATGCCGATTTTATTCAATTCCATTCGATGATGATTCCATTCAAAACCATTCACTGATTCCATTCAATGATGATTCCATTCGAGTCCATTCGATGATTCCATTCGATTCCATTCAATGATTCCATTCGATTCCATTCGATGATGATTCCATTCGAGACCATTCAATGATTCCATTCAATTCCATTCAATGATGATTCCATTCATGTCCATTCGATGATTCCATTCACTTCCATTCAATGATTCCATCTGATTCCATTTGATGATGATTCCATTCGAGTCCATTCGATGATTACATTTGATTCCATTTCATGATGACTCCTTTGAAGCCCAGTGGATGATTGCATTCCAGTCAATTCGAAGATACCATTTGATTCCATTCGATTATGATTCATTTCAATTCCATTCGGTGATGACTTTGTTCGGTTCCATTTGATGATGAATTCATTCGATTCCTTTCAATGATGATTCCATTCAATTACATTCGATGATGATTCCATTCGATTCCACTTGATGATGATGCCATTCAATTCCATTCGATGATGATTCCATTTTATTTCATTCAATGATCCTATTTGATTCCATTCGATGATGATTCCATTCTATTCTGTTTGATGATTCCATTCGATTCCATTCGATGACGATTCTATTCAATTCCATTTGATGATGATTCCATTCGATTCTATTCAGTGATGATTCCATTTATGTCCATTCAATGTTTCCATTCGATTTCATTCAATGATTATTCCACTCGATTCTGTTAGATGATTCCATTTGATTCCTTTCGATGATGATTCCATTCGGCGCCATTTGACTATTCCATTTGATTTCATTCGATGATGATTCCATTGATTTATTTTGATGATTCCTTTCCATTCCATTCGTTGATTATTCCATTCGAGTCCATTCAATGATTCCATTCTATTCCATTCAATGATGACTCCATTCGATTCCACTCGAAGATTCAATGCAATTTCATTTGAAGATGATTCCATTCGAGTCCATTCGATGTTTCCATTCAATTCCATTCAATGATTCCATTTGATTCCATTCGATGATGATTCCATTCGAGACCATTCGATGATTCCATTCAATTCCATTCGATGAGGATTGCATTCGAGTCCATTCAATGATCCCATTCAAGTCCATTCGATGATTCCATCTGATTCCATTTGAAGATGATTCCATTGATTTCATTTGATTATTCCTTTCCATTCCTTTCGATGATTATTGCATTCGAGTCCATTCAATGATTCCTTTTGGTTCCATTCGATGATGACTCCATTCAAGTGCATTCGAAGATTCAATGCAATTTCATTTTATTATGATTCCATTCGAGTCCATTCTATGATTCCATTCAATTCTATTCGATGATGATTCCATTCTAGTGCATTAGATGATTAAATTCGTTTTCGTTCAATGATGATTCCTTTTGATTCCATTCGATGATTCCCTTCGATTCCATTTGATGATGATTCCATTCGGGTCCATTTGACACTTCCATTCGAGTCCATTTGATGATTCCATTCGAGTCCAAATTTCATTTCACTCAGTTCCCGTCGATGATGTTTCCGTATGATTCCATTCGATGATGATTCCATGTGATTCCATTCAATGATGATTCCGTTCGAGTCCATTTGATGATTCTATTCAATTCCATATGATGATGATTCCATTCAATTCCATTCATTGGTGATTCCATTCATTTCTATTCATTGATTCCATTCCATTCCATTCAACAATGATTCCACTCGATTTCCTTTTATGATTCCACTCGATTAAACTTGACGATGATTCCATTTGATTCTATTTGATGACTCCATTTTATTCTATTCAAAGATGATTCCATTCGATTCCTTTTGAAGATGATTGCATTCAATTCCATTCGATGATTCCATTCGTTTCCATTTGATGATGATTGCATTCGATACCAATTGATGATTCCATTTGATTCCATTTGAGGATTCCACTCGATTCCATTCGATGATGATTCCAATCGAGTACATTCAATGATTCCATTCGAGTCCATTTGATGATTCCATTCGATTCCATTCGATGATGATTCCATTAGAGTCCATTCGAAGATTCCATTTGATTCCATTTGATGATGATTCCATTAGAGCCCATTCGATGATTCCATCCGAGTCCATTCGATGATTCCATCCATTTCCATTCAATGATGGTTCCATTCGAGTCCCTTCTTTGATTCCATTTGATTCCATTCTCTGATGACTGCATTCGGTTCCATTCAATGATTCCAACGGATTCCATTCGATTTCTCCATTCGATTCCCTTCCTTGCTGATTCTATTCAATTCCATTAGATGATGACTCCATTAGATTCCATTCGATGATGATATCATCAGATCCCATTCGATGACGGTTCCATTCGATTCTATTCAATGAAGATTCTATTTGATTCCATTCGATGATTTCATTCGATTCCATTCGATGGTGATTCCATTAGTGTCCATTTGATGATTCCATTGAATTCCATTCGATGAAGATTCCATTAGAGTCCATTCAATCATTCCATTGAAGTCCATTCGAAGATTCCTTTTGATTCCATTCGATGATGATTCCATTCGAGACCATTCAATGATTCCATTCGATTCCTTTCAATGATGATTCCATTCGAGTCCATACGATGATTCCATTTGATTTCATTCCATGATGATTCCATTCGTTTCCGTTCGATTATTCCATTCTATTCCATTCAATGATGATTCCATTTGAGTCCATTTGATGATTCATTTCGAGTCCATGTAATGATTCCATTGGGTTCAATTCGATGATGATTACATGGGATTCCATTCGATGATTCCACTCGATTCCATTCGTTGATGATTCGATTCGATTCCATTCGTTGATGATTCCATGTGATTCCATTCGATGATGATACCATTCAATTTCATGATTCTATTCGATTCAATTTGATTATGATTCAATTCTATTCCATTGGAGGATTCCATTGGATTCCATTCGATGATGATTCCTTTTGATTCCATTCGATTATGATTCCATTCGATTGCATTCTATGATGATTCCATTCGAGTGCATTCGAAGATTATATTCGATTCCATTTGATGATGATTCCATTCATGTTCATTCGAAGATTATATTCGATTCAATTCGATGATTATTCCCTTCCAATCCATTCAACGATTCCTTTCCATTCCGTTTGATGATGATTATATTCGATTCCATTTGATGATGATTCCATTCGTTTCCATTCGATGATGATTCCATTTGAATTCATTCAATGATTCTCTTTGTTTCCATTGGAAGATGAATCTATTCCATTCCATTCAGTGATTCCATTTGAGTCCATTCAATGGTGATTAAATTCGATTTCATTCGATGATTCCATTCGATTCCATTCAATGATTTTTGTATTCGAATCCATTCGATGATTCCATTCCATTCCATTCAAAGATGGTTCCATTCAATTCCATTCGATAATTCCATTCGATTCCATCAGATGATTCCAATGGATTTTATTTGACGATGATTCTATTCGAGACCATTCATTAATGCCATTCAATTCCATTTGATGATGATTCCTTTTGAGTGCATTCAATGATTCCAATCAGTTCCATTCAATGATGATTCCATTCAAGTCCATCTGATGATTCTATTCGATTCCATTCTATAATGATTCCGTTTGAGTCCATTTGATGATTCAATTCGGGTCCTTTCGATTATTCCCTTCGATTCCATTTGATGATGATTTGGTTCAAGTCAATTCGACGCTTCCCTTTTAGTCCACTTGATGATTCCATTCAATTCCATTCTATGATGACTCCGTATGATTCCATTCCAAGATGATTCCATGTGATTCCATTCGATGATGATTCCTTTCGATGCCATTCGATTATGATTCATTTTGAGTTCATTCGACGATTCCACATGATTCCATTCGATGATGATTCCATTAGAATCAATTTGATGATTCCATTCGATTTCATTCGATGATGATTCCATTCGAGTTCATTCGATGATTCCATTCTATTCCATTCCATGATAATTCCATTTGAGTCCATTCGATGATTGCATTCTATTCCATTCGATGATGATTCCATTCAATTCCATTCAATGATAATTCCATTCAAGTCCATTTGATGATTCCATTCTATTCCATTTGATGATGATTCCTTTCGAGTCCATTCGATGATTGCATTTGATTCCGGTAGGTGATTCCATTCTATTCCATTCGATGATGATTCCATTCAAGTCCGTTTGATGATTCCATTCGATTCCATTCGAGGACGACTGCATTCGGTTCCATTCAATTATTCCATTCAATTCCATTCAATGATTCCATTTGATTCCATGCAATGATGTTTCCATTCGATTCCATTCAATGATTCCTTTCGTTTCCATTCGATTATGATTCCATTCAAGTCCATTCGATAATTTCATTCTGGTCCCTTCATTGATTCCATCTGATTCCATTTGATGATGATTCAAGTCCATTAAATGATTCCATTTGATTCCATTCATTGATGATTCTATTTGATTCCATTCAATAATTCTATTCTATTGCATTCAATGATGATTCCATTCAATTCCATTGTATGGAATTGAATACTTTCGATTTCATTCGATGATGAATCCATACGAGTCCATTCGATGATTCCATTCGTTTCTATTTGATGATGATTCCATTGGATTTCTTTTAATGATTCCATCCGATTCCATTCGTTGTTGGTTCCATTCAATTCCATTCGATGATGATCCCATTGGATTCCATTCGATGATTCCATTCGACTCCATTCAAAGATTCCATTTGAGTCCATTCTTTGACACCATTTGGTTCCATTCTATGATGATTACATTCGAGTCCATTTGATGATTCCATTCGATTCCATTCGATGATTCCTTTTGATTCCATTTGATTCCATTCGATAATGATTGCATTCGATTCCTTTCGATGCTTCCCTTCAATTCCATTCAAAGTTGATTCCGTTCGAGTCCATTCGATAATTCCATTTGATTCCATTCCATGATGACTCCATTCGAATCCATTCGATGATTCCATTCAATCCCAGTCAATGATGATTCCATTCAATTCCATTTGATGATTCCATTGGATTCCATTCGATGATGATTCCATTCGAATCCATTCGATGATTCCATTCGAGTCCATTTGATGATGATTCCATTCGAGTCCATTCAATGATGATTCCATTCGAGTTCATTCTATGATTCCATTCTGTTCCATTCAATGATACTTCCATTTGAGTCCATTCAATGACTCCATTCTATTCCATTCGATGATTATTCCATTCGAGTCCATTCGGTGATTGCTTTCGAGTCCATTCGATGATTCCATTCGATGATGATTCCATTCGATTCGATTCGATGATGAACCATTTGCTTCAATTTCATGATTATTCCATTTCATTCAATTCGATGATGTTTCCATTCCAGTCCATTTGATGATCATTCCATTCGAATGCATTTGACGATGATTCCATTCGAGTCCATTCGATGATGATTCCATTCAAGTCCACTCATTGATGATTCCATTGGATTTCATTGGATGCTTCTCTTCGATTCCATTTGATGATGATTCCATCTGATTCTGTTCAATGATTCCATTCCATTCCATTTAGTGATGATTCCATTCGATTCCCTCTGATGATGATTTCATCTGATTTCATTCTATGATGATTCCATTTGATTGCATTTGATGATGATTCCAATCGAGTCCATTCGAAGATTCCATTCGATTCCATTCGATGTTTCCATTCGATGCCATTCGATGATGATTCCATTCGATTCCATTTGATGATTCCATTCGATTCCATTCGATGATGATTCCATTAGAGTCCATTCAATGATTCCATTAGATTGAATTCAATGATGATTCCACTCGAGTCCCTTCAATGATTCCATTTGATTCTATTGGATGATCCCTTCCGATTCCATTCGATGATTCCATTCGATTCTATTCGATGATCATTCCATTCAGTTCCATTTGATGATTCCATTCGATTCCATTCATTGATGATTCCATGTGATAACATTTGATGATGATTCCATTCGATTCCAGTCGATGATGATTCCATTCAATTGCAGTCGATGATGATTCCATTTGAATCCAAATGATGATTCCATTCGATTGCAGTCGATGATCATTCCATTCGAATCCATATGATGATTCCATTCGATTCCATTTGATGATTCCTTTCGATCCCATTCAATGATTCCCTTCAATTCCATTCGATGATCATTCCATTCAAATCAGTGATACCATTCGATTCCATTGGATGATGATTCCACTCGATTCCATTCCATGATGATTCCATTTGAATCCATGTGATGATGATTCCATTAGTTTCCATTTGATGATTTCATGCGATTCCATTTGTTGATGATTCCATTCGATTCCATTCGATGATGATTCCATTAGATTCCATTCGATGATGATTCCATTCGATTTCATTCGATGATTCTATTTGATTCCATTTGATGATGATTCCCTTCTATTCCATTCGATAATTCCATTCGATTCCATTCTATGATGATTCAATTCGATTCCTTTTGATGATGATTCCATTTGATTCCATTCGATGATGATTCCACTGGTGTCCATTCTACGATTCCACTCGATTCCATTCGATGATGATTCCATACGAGTCCGTTAGATGATTCCATTTGATTCCATTGGATGATGATTCCATTCGATGCCATTCGATGGTTCCATTCAATTTCATTGATGATGATTCCATCTGATTCCATTCGATGATTCCATTTGATGAGGATTCCATTAGAAGCAATTCGATGATTCCATGATATTCCATTCGATGATGATTCCATTCATTCCCATTCAATAATTCCATTCGAGTCCATTTGATGATTCCACTTGAGTCCATTCGATGACACCATTTGTGTCCATTCGATGATGATTCCATTCGAGTCCATTCGAAGATGATTCCATTCATGTCCATTCAATGATGATTCCATTTGATTCCCTTCGTTCATGTTTCCATTAGATTCCATTCAAGGATGATTCCATTTGACTCCGTTTGATGATGATTCCATTCAATATCATTCGATGTTTCCATTCGATGCCATTCGATGATGATTCCATTCGATTCCATTTGATGATTCCATTCGATTCCACTCGATGTTGATTCCATTCGATTCCATTTGATGATTCCATTTGATTCCATTTGATGATGAGCCATTTGATTCAATTCCATGATGATTCCATTTGATTCAATTCGATGATGTTTCCATTCGGTTCCATTCGATGATGATTCCATTCGATTCCATTCTACGATGATTCCATTCGAGTCCATTCGATGATGATTCCATTCGATTCCATTCGATGGTTATTCCATTCATGTCCATTCGATGATTCCATTCGATTCCATTCGAATACGATTCCATTCAATTACTTTCAATGATTCCATTTGAGTCCGTTCGGTAATGATTCAATTCGATTTCATTCAATGCCTCTATTTGATTCCATTCGATGATGATTCCACCAGATTCCATTCAATGATTCCATTCGATTCCATTCAGTGTTGGTTCCATTCGATTCCATTCGATGATGATTTTATTCGATTTAATTTGATGATTCCATTCGATTCCATTCGATTGTGATTCCATTTCAGTCCATTGGATGATTCTGTTCATTTCCATTTGGTAATGATTCCATTGGAATCCATTCAATGATTCCATTTGATTCCATTCATTGATGATTCCAATCGAGTCCATTTAATGATTCCATTCGTTTCCCTTTGATGATGATTCCTTTGGATTCCATTCGATGATTCCATTTGATTCAATCCATTGATTATTCCATGAGATTCCATTCAATGTTGATTCCATTTGACTGCATTCGATGATGATTCCAGTTGATTTCATTCGATGCTTCTATTCGATTTCATTCGATTATGATTCCATCTGATTCCATTCGATGATCCCATTCGATTCCATTCAGTGTTGATTCCATTTGATTCCATTTGATGATGATTCCATTTGATTCCATTAGATAATGATTCCATTCGACCCCCTTCGATGATTCCATTCGAGTCCATTCAATGATTCCATTCGAGTCCATTCGATGATTCCACTGGACTCCATTTGATGATGATTCCATTCAATGATTCCATTCGATTCTATACTATGATGATTCCATTCGATTTCATTCGATGTTGATTCTTTCAATTCCATTTGATGATTCCATTCGATGATTCCATTCGATTACATTCGACGATGATTCCATTCGAATCCATTCGATGATTGCATTTGATTCTATTTGATGATGATTCCATTTGATTCCATTTGATGATGACTGCATTAGTTTCCATTTGAGGATTCCATTTGATTCCATTTGATGATGATTCTGATAGATTCCATTCGATGATTCTATTTGATTCCTTTCGATGATTCCATTTGATAATGATTCCATTCGAGTCCACTCGATATTTCCATTCGAGCCCATTCAATAATTCCATTTGGGTCCAATCGATGATTCCATTTGAGTCCATTCGATCATTCCATTTGAGTCCATTCGATTATGATTCCATTCGAGTCCATTCGATGATTCCATTCGAGTCCATTTGATAATTCCATTTGATTCCATTAGATGATAATTCCATTCGAGTGCATTCTATGATGATTCCATTCGAGTTCATTCAATGATTCCATTCGAGTTCATTCAATGATTCCATTCTATTCCATTCGATGTTGATTCCATTCCACTCCATTCGATGATGATTCCATTCGATACCATTTTATGATTCAGTTCGATTCCATTCGATGACTCACTTTGATTCATTTTTATGATGATTCCATTCGATTCCATTCGATGATTCCTTTCAATTTTATTTGATGATGATTCCATTTGAATCCGTTTGATGATGCGTCCTTTTGATTCCATTTGATGATGATTCCATTCGTTTCCTTTCGATGATGATTCCTTTTGATTCCATTTGATGATGATTCCATTCGATTCCATAGAGGCTGATTGCATTCGAGGCCATTCGATGATTCCATTCGAGTCCATTCAATGATGACTGTATTTGATTCAATTCGATGGTGATTCCATTTGAGACCATTCAATGATTCTGTTCGATTCCATTCGATGATTCCATTCGATTCCATTTGATGATGATTCCATTTGATGCCATTCGATGATGATTCCTTTTGAATCCATTCGATAATGACACCGTTAGATTCCATTTGAGGATGATTCCATTCAGTTCCATTGAATGATGATTCCATTAGATTCCATTCAATAATTCCATTCCATTCCATTCATTGATTATTCCATTCGAATCCATTTGATGATGATTCTTTTTGATACCATTTGATGATGATTCCATTCGAGTCCATTCGATGTTGATTCCATTGGATTCCATTCAATGATGACTCCATTCGATTTCATTTGATGATTTTATTCGTTTCCATTCGATTCCATTCCATGATAATTCCTTTTGAGTCCATTTGATAATTCCATTCGATTTGATTCGATGATGATTCCATTCGAGTCCGTTAGATGATTCCATTCAGTCCCATTCTATGATGCTGTTAGATTACAGTTGACGATTCCCTTCGATTCCATTCAATGATTATTCCATTCAATTCCATTCGATGATTCGAGTTGATTCCATTCAATGATGATTCCACTGGATTCCATTTGATTATGATTCCATTCAATTCCATTCGATGATGATTTCATTCGATTCCAAACGATGATGACTCCATTAGGTTCCATATGATGATGATTCCACTGTGTTCCATTCGATGATGATTCCAGTGGATTCCATTTGGTGATGATTCCATTCGATTCCATTTGATGATGATTCAGTTGGATTTCATTCTGTATTTCTATTCGATTCCATTCAATGATGATGCCTTTCTATTCCATTCGATGATTCCATTTGATACCATTCAATGATGATTCCATTCGATAATGTTTCCATTCCACTCCATTCAATGATGATTCCATTAGAGTCCATTTCATTATTCCCTTTGATTCAATTCGATGATGATTCCATTAGAGTCCATTCGATGATTTCATTCAATTCCATTTGATGATGAATCCATCTGATGCCATTCGATGATTCCATTCCATTTTATTCGATGATGATTCCATTCAATTGCATTCGATGATTCCATTTGCTACCATTCGATTATGATTCCTTTCATGTCATTCGATGTTTCCATTAGATTGCATTTGAAAATGATTCCATTCGAGTCCATTCAATGATTCCATTTGAATCCATTCGATGATGATTTCATTCAATTCCATTTGATGATTCCATTTGATTCCATTCGATGATGATACCATTTGAGACCATTCGATGATTCCACATGATCCCATATGATCATTCCATTTGAATCCACATAATGATTCCATTTGAGTTCTTTCAGTGATTCCATTCGATTCCATCCAATGATTCCATTCGATTCCATTCAATGTTTCCATTCGATTCCATCCGATGATGATTCCATTCAAGTCCATTCGATGATTCCATTTGAGTCCATTCGATGATTACATTTGATTCCATTTGATGATGATTCCATTCAATTCCATTGGATGATTCTATTTGATTCCGTTCGATGATGATTCCATTAGATTCCACTCAATGATGATTCCTTTTGATTTCATTCGATGAATCCATTCTATTCCACTTAATGATGATTCCATTCAATTCCATTCGATGATTCCATTCTATTTCATTTGATGATGTTTCTATGAGAGTCCGTTTGGTGATTCCATTCCTTTCCATTTGATTATGATTCCCTTTGTGTCCATTTGATGATTTCATTCGATTCCATTCTATGATACCATTCGAATCCATTTGATGATTCCCTTCTATTCCATTCAATGATCATTCCATTCGATTCCATTCGATGATGGTTCCATTGGATTCCATTCATTGATGATTCCATTCGATGATGACACCATTAGGTTCCACTTGATGATGATTCCATTCAGTTCCATTCGATGATGATTCCAATAGATTACGTTCAATGATTCCATTCGATTCCATTCATTGATGATTCCATTCGATTCTAATCAATGATGATTCCATTCGATTCCATTCGGTGATGATTCAATTTGATTTCATTCGATAATGCTATTCAATTCCATTCATGATGATTCCATTCTATTCCATTCGTTGATTCCATTCAATTAGATTCAATGATGATTCCATTCCATTCCATTTGATGATGATTCCATCCGATGTTATTCGATGATTCCATTAGATTTCATTCGATGATGATTCCATTCGATTCCATTCGATGATGATTCCATTCGATTCAAATAGATGAAGATTCCTTTCGAGTAAATTCGATGATTCCATTAGACTCCATTCGATGATGACTCCATTCGAGTCCATTCGATGATTCCATTCGATTCCATTCAATGATGATTCCATTCGAGTCCATTTGATGATTCCATTCGATTCCATTCAATGATGATTCCACTCGAGTCCATTCAATGATTCCATTACATTTCATTCGATGATTCTGTTCGATTCCATTAGATGAGGATTCCGTTCTATCCCATTCGACAATTCCATTCTATCCAACTCAATGATGATTCCATTCATTCCATTCGATGATGATTCCATTCGAGTGCATTAAATGATTCCATTCGATTCCATTCAATGATGATTCCATTCGGGTCCATTCGATGATTCCATTTGATTCCATTGGATGATGATTCCATTCGATGCCATTCCATGATTCCATTCGATTTCATTCGATGGTGATTCCTTTCCATTCCATTCATTGATGATTCCATTCAATTCCATTCTATGATGATTCCCTTCTAATCCATTTGATAATGATTCCATTAGATTCCATTCAATGATTCCATTCGATGATGATTCCTTTCGTGTACATTTGCAGATTCCATTCGATTCCATTTGATGATGATTCCTTTCGTGTACATTTGCAGATTCCATTCGATTCCATTTGATGATGACTCCATTCGAGTCCATTCCATGATTCCATTTGATTCCATTCGTTGATGTTTCCATTCAAATCCATTCGATGATCCCGTTTGATTCCATTTAATGATGATTCCATTCGAGTTCACTCGATGATTCCATTTGAATCCATTCGATGATTATTCCATTCGAGTCCTTTCGAAAATTCTGTACGATTTCATTTGATGATGATTCCATTGGAGTTCATTTGATGATTCCATTCGAATCCATTCGTTGATGATTCCATGCGAGTCCATTCGATGATTCCATTCGATTTCATTCGATGATTCTATTCGATTCCATTTGAGGATGATTCCATTCTATTCCATTCAATGATTCCTTTCGATTCCATTCGATGATGATTCCCTTCATTCCACTCGATGATGATTCCGTTCAATTCCATTCGATGATGATTCCATTCGAGTCCATTCAATGATTCCATTCGCTTCCATTCAATGTTGATTCCATTCAATTCCATTCGATGATTCCATTTGATTCCATTCGTGATGATTCCATTCGTGTCCTTTCGATGATTCCATATGATTCCATTCGATCATACCGTTTCATTCCATTCGATGATTCCCTTTGATTCCATTCAATGATCATTCCATTTGATTCCATTCGAAGATTCCATTCGATTGTATTTGATGCTGATTCCATTCGCAACCATTCGATCATGATTCCATTCGAATCCTTTCGATGATTATTCCATTCATTTCCATTCGATGATTACTCCATTTGGTTCCATTTGATGATGATTCCATTCGGTTCCATACTATGATCATTCCATTAGATTCCATTCAATGATTCCATTCGATTCTGTTCAATGATGATTCCATTCATTCCATTCAATGATTCCATTTGATTCCTTTTGATGATGATTCCACTTGAGTCCATTCAATAATTCCATTCGATTCCATTTGATGATGATTCCATTTGTGTCCATTCGATGTTTCCATTCGATTCCATTTGGTGATGAGTCCATTTGATGCCATTCGATGATTCCATTTGATTTCATTCAATGATTATTGCATTAACTTCCATTCATTGATGATTCCATTTGATTCCATTTGATGATGATTCCATTCGAATCCATTCCTTGATGATTCCATTCGAGTCCAATCGAGGATTCCATTTGAGTCTATTTGATGATTCCATTCGTTTCCATCCCATTATGATTCAATTCGAGTCCATTTGATGATGATTCCATTCAATTCTATTTGATGATTCAAATCGATTCCATTCAGTGATTCACTTCGAATACTTTTGATGATGATTCCACTCGATTCCATTCGATGATTCCATTCGATTCCATTAGATGAGGATTCCATTCTATTCCACTCGATGACTCTATTTGATTCCGTTCAATGATGATTCCATTTGATTCCATTCAGTGATTCAATTCACTTCCATTCGATGTTGATTCCATTGGATTCCATTTGATGATTCCATTCGATTCCTTTTGATTCCATATGATTTTCATTGCATTCAATTCCATTGATGATGATTGCATTAGAATCCATTCGATGATTCCATTAGTGTCCATTTGATGATTCCATTCGTGTCCATTCCACGATGATTCCATTTAATTACATTCGATGACGATTAAATTCGACTCCATTTGATGATTCCATTCCCTTCCATTCGATGAGGATTCCATTCTTTTCCAGTCGATTATTACATTCGATTCCATTCAATGAGGATTCCATTCCATTCCATTAGATGATTCCAATCGATTCAATTCGATGATGATTCCATCCAATTCCATTCGTTGATTCCATTCCTTTCTATTGGATAATGATTTCATTCGTGTCCATTCGATGATTCTGTTTGAAGCCATTTGATGTTTGCTTTTGTTTCCATTCTATGATGACTCCATTCGATTCCATTTGATGATGAATCCATTCGACACCATTCTATGATTCCATTCAATTCCATTCGATGATGATTCCATTTGATTCCATTTGATGATTCAATTCACCTTCATTTGATGTTGATTCCTTTTGATTCCATTTGATGATGATTCCATTCGTGTCCATTCGATGATTTAATACAAATCCATTCAAACATACTGCTCAATTCCATTCGATGATTCCCATTGATTCCATTCGATGATCATTCTATTTGATTCCATTCAATGATTCCATTCGATTGCATCCAATGCTGATTCCATTCACAACCATTCGATGATGATTCCATTCAATTCCATTTGATGCTGATTCCATTGCATTCCATTTGATGATGACTCCATTAGGTTCCATTTGATGATGATTCCATTCGGTTCCATACAATGATGATACCGTTAGATTCCATTTGATGATTCCATTCCATTCCATTCATTGATGATTCCATTCGATTCCATTCGATGATGATTCTATTTGATTCCACTCGATGATGACTCCATTTGGTTCCATTTGATGATGATTCCACTCAGTTCCATACGATGAAGATTCCATTAGATTCCATTCGATTTCATTCGATGATGATTCCATTCGATTCCATTCGTTGATGATTCCATTCGATTCCATTTGATGATGATTCCATTTGATTTCTTTCTTTAACTCTATTCGATTCCATTTGATGATGATTCCATTCGGTTCCATTTGATGATTCCATTCGATTCCATTCATTGATGATTCCATTCGATTCCATTTGATGACAATTCCATTCAATTACATTCGATGATGATTCAATTAGATTTCATTCTATAACTCTATTCGATTCCATTCAATGATGATTCCATTCTATTCCATTAGATGATTCCATTGTATTCCATTCAATGATTATCCCATTCGATTCCATTCGATGATGACTCCAATCATTTCCATTCAATGATGATTCAATTCGAGTCCATTCGATGATTCCATTCGATTCCATTCAAAGATGATTCCATTCTAGTCCATTCGATGATTCCATTGGATTCCATTCAATGATTCCATCCGATGCCATTCGATGATTTCATTCAATTTCGTTTGATGATGATTCCATTTGATTCTATTCGATGATTCCATTCGATTCCATTTAATGATCATTCCTTTCGATTCCATTCGATGTTTCCATTCAATTCATTCGATGATGATTCCATTCGAGTCCATTCAATGATTCCATTCGAGTCCATTCGATGTTTCCATTCGGGTCCATTTGACTATTCCATTCGATCCCATCCCATGATGATTCCATTCGAGTCCATTCAGTGATGATTCCATTCGATTCAATTCGATGATTCAATTTGATTCCATTCGATGATTCACTTCAATATCTTTCAATTATGATTCCATTCCATTCCTTTCAATGATTCCATTCGATTCCATTTGATGATGATTCGTTTGGACTCCATTTGAGTTTAATTTCATTTGATTCCATTGATGATGTTTGCATTCTAGTCCATTCGATGATTCCATTAAAGCCCATTCGACAATTCCATTCAAGTCCATTCAACGATGATTCCATTCAATTCCATTCGATGAGGATTCCATTCCTGTCCATTAGATGATTTGATTCGTTTCCATTGGATGATGATTCCATTCATGTCCATTCAATTATTCTGTTCGAATCCATTCGATGTTTGCTTTCAATTCCATTCGATGATGATTCCATTCTATTCCATTTGATTATGATTCCATTCAATACCATTCTATGATCCCTTTCATTTCCATTCGATGATGATTCCATTCCATTCCATTCAATGATACCATTCGATGAGGATTCCATTGAATTCCTTTCGATGATTCCATGCAATTTCATTCAATGATGTTTCTATTCGAGTCCATTCGATGACTCCATCCAATTCCATTCTATGATGATTCCATTCGAGTCCATTCGAAGTTTCCATTCGATTCCATTCGATGATGATTCCATTCGAGTCCATTCTATGATTCAATTCAATTCCATTCGATGTTTCCCTTCGATTCCATAAGATGGTCATTCCATTCGATTCCAATCGTTGATGATTCCATTGGACTCCATTCGATGTTGATTCCATTTGAATCCATTCGATGATGATTCCATGCAATTCCATTCGATGATGATTCCATTAGGTTTCATTTGATGATGATTCCTTTCAGTTCCATTGGATGATGATTCCATTAGTTTCCATTTGATGATTCCTTTCGATTCAATTCGTTGATGATTCCATTCAATTCCATTCGATGATTATTTCATTTGATTCCATTCAATGATGATTCCATTCGATTCCTTTGAATGATAATTCCATTTGATTTCATTTGATGATTCCATTTGATTCCATTTGTTGATGATTCCATTTGATTCCCTTCGATGATGATTCCTTTCCTTTCCATTTGATGATTTTTCCATTCGATTCCATTGATGATGATTGCATGAGAGTCCATTCAATGATTCCATTCGTGTCCATTTGATGATTCAAATCGAGTCCATTAGAAAATGATTCCATTCGATTCTACTCAATGATGATTCCAATTGATTCCATTTGATGATTATTCCATGCGATTCCAATCGATGATGATTCCATTAGGTTTCATTTGATGATGATTCCATTCGGTTCCATTGGATGATGATTCCATTCCATTCCATTCAATGATTCCATTCGATTCCTTTCGTTGATGATTCCATTCGATTCCATTTGATGATGATTTCAATTGATTCCATTTGATGATGATTCCATTCGATGAGGATTCCATTCAATTCCATTTGATGATAATTCCATTTGATTTCATTCAATGATTCTATTCCATTCCATTTGATGATTATTCCAGTCAATTCCATTGATAATGATTGCATAAGATTCCATTCAATGATTCCATTCGTGTCCATTTAAAGCTTCCATTCGAGTCCATTTGAGGATGATTCCATTCGATTCTATTCGATGATGATCCCATTCGAGTCCATTCGATGATTCCATTTGTTTCCATTCGATGAGGATTTCATTCCAGTCCATTAGATGATTCCATTTGATTCATTTCAATTATGATTCCATTCGATTCCATATGTTGATTTGATCAGATTCCATTCAATGATGATTCCATTTGTGTCCATTCAATGATTCTATTCAAATCCATTTGATGATTGCTTTTGATTCCATTCGATGGTGATTCCATTTGATTCCATTTGATGATGACTCCATTCAAAACCATTCTATGATTCCATTCGATAGCATTTGATGATGATTCCATTCGATTCCATTTGATGATTCAATTCGATTCCATTTGATGATGATTCCATTCAATTTCATTCGATGATTCCATTCGATTTCATTCGATGATGTTTCTATTCGATTATTCCATTCGATTCCATTCGATGTTGATTCCATTCGAGACCATTCAAAGATTTCATTCGATTCCATTCGATGATTATTCCATTCGTGTACATTCAATGATAATTCCATTCGATGATGATTCCTTTAGATTCCATTCGATGATGACTCCATTAGGTTCCATTTGATGATGATTCCATTCGGTTCCATTTGATGATGATTCCATTCCATTCCATTCAATAATTCCATTCGATTCCACTCGTTGATGATTCCATTTGATACCATTCAATGATGATTCCATTCGATTCCATTGGATGATGATTCCATTCTATGATGATTCCATTTGATTCCATTTGAAGATTATTCCATTGGATTTCATTCGATGATCCTACTCGATTCCATTTGATGATTCTATTTGATTCCATTTGATGATGATTCCATTTGATTCCATTCGATGATGATTCCATTCGAGCCCATTCAATGATTCCATTCAATTCCATTCACTGATGATTGCATTCGAGTCTATTCGATGATTCCATTCGATTCCATTCGATGATGATTCCATTTGATGTCATTCAATGATTCCATTTGTTTTCATTCGATTATGATTCCATTTGATTCCATCAGATGATTCCATTTGATTCCATTCGATCATGATTCCATTCGAGTCTGTTCAATGATTCCATTCGATTCCATTCGATGATGATTCCATTTGATGTCATTCAATGATTCCATTTGTTTTCATTCGATTATGATTCCATTCGATTCCATTAGATGATTCCATTTGATTCCATTCGATCATGATTCCATTCGAGTCCGTTCAATGATTCCATTCGATTCCATTTGATCATGATTCCATTCGGGGCCATTCGAAGATTCCATTCAATTCCATTCGATGATTCCATTCGAGTCCATTCGATGATTTCATTCGAGTCCATTTGAGGATGATTCCGTTTGATTCCATTCCATGATTATTCCATTCGAGTCCATTCGATGAAGATTCCATTCGATTTTATTCAATGATTCCATTCGATTCCATTCGATGATGCTTCTATTCAAGTCCAATGATTCCATTTGATTCCATTAGAAGATGATTCCATTTCAGTCCTTTAGATGATTCCTTTAGATGATGATTCCATTTGATTCTTTTCAATGATTAAATTCGATTTCATTCAATGGTGTTTCTATTCGAGTCCATTCCATGATTCCATTCAATTCCATTCTATGATAATTCCATTGGAGGCCACTGGAAGTGTCCATTTGATTTCATTCGATGATGATTCCATTCGATTCCATTTGATGATTCAATTCGATACCTCTCAATGATTCCCTTCAATTCCATTTGATGATAATTCCATTTCGATCCCATTCGATGATTCCATTCGATTCCATTCGTTGACGATTCCATTGGACTGCATTAGATGATGATTCCATTTGATTGCATTTGATGATTATTGCATTCCATACCATTCTATGATTCCATTTGATTCCATTCGATGAGGATTCCATTGGAGTCCATTTGATGATTCCATTCGATTCCATTTGATGATTCAGTTCAATTCCATTCAATGATTCCCTCCTATTCCATTCGAAGATAATTCCATTTGAGTCCATTCAATGGATTCATTAGATTCCATTTGGTTTTGATTCCATTCGAGTCCATTAGAGGATGATTCCATTCGAGTTCATTCCATGATTCCATTCAATTCCATTTGGTGATGATTCTACTCGATTCCATTTGATGGTGATTCAATTCGATTCCATTTGATGGTTATTCCATTCTATTCCATTCAATGATTTCATTCAATTCCATTTGATGATTTCATTCGACTCCATTCGATAATTCCATTCGATTCCATTTGATGATTCCATTCAATTCCATTCGATGATTTCATTTGATTCCATTTGATAATTCCATTCGATTCCATTCGATGATGATTCCTTTCGAGTCCATTCGCTTATTCCGTTCTATTCCATTAGATGATGATTACATTCGAGTCCATTCCATGATTCCATTCAATTCCATTAGATGATTACTCCATTCAATTCCACTCGATGATGATTCCTTTAGATCCCATTCCCTGAGGATTCCATTCGATTCCATTTGATGATGATTCTATTAGTTTCCATTCGATGAGGATTCCATTCAAAGATGATTCTATTCAATTAATTTTGATTTTTTTTATTACGTTCGACGTTGATTCCATTCTATTTCACTGGATGATTCCATTCCATTCCATTCGATGATTATTCCATTTGATTCTGTTCGATGATGAGTCATTTTGATTCCATTCGATGATGATTCAATTCGATTGCATTTGATGATGTTTCCGTTTGATTCCATTCAATGATGATTCCATTTGATTCCATTCCATGATGATTCCATTAGAGTCCATTCAATGATGATTCCATTCTTGTCCATTCAATGATTCCATTCGATTCCATTCAATGATGATTCCATTCGAGTCCATATGATGATTGCATTTGATTCCATTCGATGTTGATTCCATTCGAGTCAATTCGATGATTCCATTCAAGTCCATTTAATGATTCCATTGGGTTCAATTCGATGATGATTACATTGGATTCCATTCTACAATTCCATTCGATTCCATTCGTTCATGATTCCAATCAATTCCACTCAATGATGATTCCATTCGATTTCATTCAATAATTCTATTCGATTCCTTTCGATGACGAATCAATTCTATTCCATTGGATGATTCTATTCGATTCCATTCGATGACGATTTCATTCGATTCCATTGGATGATGATTCCATTCAATTGCATTTAATGATGATTCCATTCGTGTCCATTCGAAGTTTCCATTTGATTACATTTCATCACGATTCCGTTCCAGTCCATTCGATGATTCCATTCGACTGCATTCGACGATGTTTCCATTCGACACTATTCAATGATTCCATTAGATTATATTCGATGATGATTCCATTCGACTGCATTAGATGATTCCATTAGAGTCCATACCATTATTCCGTTAGATTCCATTCAATGATGATTCAATTCGATGCCATTCGATGATTCTGTTGGATTCCATTCGATGATGTTTCCATTCGAGTCCATTTGATGATGACTGCATTGGATTCCATTCGATGATTCCATTTGATTCCATTCGATGATGATTCCATTCAATTCCATTCGATGATTCCATTCGATTTCATTTGATGATTCCAACTGATTCAATTCGATAATGATTCCTTTCGAGTCCATTCGATGATTACATTCGAGCCCATTTGATATTTCCATTTGAGTCCAATCCATGATTCCATTCGAGTCCATTCAATTATTCCATTTGAGTCCATTCGATGATTTCTTTTGATTCCATTTGATGATATTCCATTCGACTCCATTCCGTGATTCCATTCGATTTCATTCAATGATGATTTCTTAGGTGTCTATTAGATGATTCCATTCTATTCCATTTGATGATGATTCCATTCGAGTCCATTCAGTGATTCCATTCGATTCCGTTCTATGATTATTCCATTCGAGTCCAATCGATGTCTCCATTCGATTCCATTTGATGATGATTTCATTCGAGTCCATTCAGTGTTTCCATTCGATTCCATTCAATGATTCCATTCGACTCCATACGATGATTCAATTGGAGTCCATTCGATTATTCCATTAGATTCCATTCGATGATGATTCCACTCGATACCATTCAGTGATTACATTCTATTCCTTTCAATGATGATTGCATTCATGCCCATTCGAATATTCCTTTTGATTCCATTGGATGATGATTTCATTTGAGTCCATTCGATGATGATTTCATTTGTGTCCGTTTGATGATGATTCAATTCGATTACATTCGATGATTCTATTCGATTCATTTCAATGATGATTCCATCTGATTCCATTCGATGAATCCATTCAATTCCATTCTATGATAATTCCATTCGTTTCCATTCGATGATGATTCCATTCGATTCCATTCAATGATTCCTTTTGATTCCATTCAATGATGATTCCAAACAATTACATTTGATGATTCCATTTGAATCCATTCGATGATGAGTCCATTCGTTTCAATTTGATGATGATTCCATTCGATTCAATTCGATGGTGTTTCCATTCAATTCCATTGGATATTGATTCCATTGGATTCCACTGGATGATTATTCCATTCGAGTCCATTCGATGATGATTCCATTGGAGTCCATTTGATGATGATTCCAATCGATTTCATTCAATGATTCTATTTGATTCCATTCGATGATGATTCCATCTGACACCATTTGATGATTCCATTCGATTCCATTTGATGATGATTCCATTCATTTCCATCCAATGATGATTCTATTTGATTCCATTCGATGATTATTCCAATCATGTCCATTCAATGTTTCCATTCGATACCATTCAATGATGATTCCATTCGAGTCCATTGAATGATTCCTTTTGACTCCATTCAATGATTCTATTTAATTCCATCCATTAATTCCGTTCAATTCCATATGATGATTATTCCATTTGAGTCCATTTGATGATTATTCCATTTGATTCTATTCGGTGATTCCTTTCGATTCCATTTGATAATGATTCCATTCGAGACCATTCGATGATTCCATTCATTTCATTTGATGATTCCATTCAATTCCATTCGATGATTCCATTAGATGCCATTTGATAATGATTCCATTTGATTCCATTCGATGATGATTCCATGCAATTCCATTTGATGACGACTCCTTTCGCTTCCATTCGAAGATGATTCCATTCGGTTCCATTCGATGATTATTCCTTTGGATTCCATTTGATGATGATTCCATTCAATTCCATTCAATGATTCCATTCGATTCCGTACGATGATGATTCCATTCCAGTCCATTCGATGATTCCATTCTATTCCTTTCGAAGATTATTCCATTCGAGTCCATTCGGTGATTCCTTTTGATGCCAATTGAAGATTTTTCCATTCGAGTCCATTTGATGATACCATTCGATACCATTCGTTGATGATTCCATTCAAGTGCATTTGATGATACCATTCGATTCCATTTGATCATGATTCCATTAGATGATTCCATTCAATTCCATTCTATGATCATTCCATTTGAGTCCATTTGATGATTCCATTGGACTCCATTTGATGATGATTCCATTCAATGATTCCATTCGATTCTATTCAATGATGATTCCATTCGATTCCATTCAATAATGTGTGCATTCTATTCCATTTGATGATTCCATTCGATTCTATTCGATGATGATTCCATTCGTGTCCATTGATTCATTTCGATTTCATTCAACGATGATTCCTTTTGAGTGCATTAGATTACTCCATTCAATTCCATTTGATGACAATTCCATTCGAGTCCGTTCAGTGATTCCATTCGATTCCATTTAATGATGATTTCATTCGATTCCATTTGATGATTCCATTCGATTCCATTCGATGATGATTTCATTTGAGTCCAGTCGATGATTCCATTTGATTCCATTTGATGATGATTTCATTCGATTCCATTTGATGACTCCACTCGATTCCATTTGATGATGATTTCATTCGAGTCCATTCGATGCTTCCATTTGATTCCATTCGATCATGATTTCATTCGAGTCCATTCGATGATTCCATTTGATTCCATTCGGTGATGATTGCATTCGAATCCATTCAATGATTCTATTCGAATCCATTTGATGATTGCTTTTGATATTTGATGATTATTCCATTCGAGTCCATTCGATGATTCCATTCGATTCCATTCGATGATGATTCCATTCGAGTCCATTTGATGATTCTGGTTGCTTCCATTCTCCGATGATTACATTCGAGTCCATTCGATGATGCCACTCGATTCCATACAATGTAGATTCTTTTGATTCCATTAGATGATTCCATTCTATTCCATTCAATGATGATTCCATTCGAGTACATTAGATGATTCCATTCAATTCCATTTGATGATGTTTCTATTCGTACCCATTAGATGATTTCACATGATTCCATTCAATAATGATTCCATCCGAGTGCATTCGTTCATTCCATTTGATTGCATTCGATGATGATTCCATTTCATTCAATTCATTGGTGATTCCATTCAATTACATTCATTAATTCCATTCCATGCCATTCGACAATGATTCCATTCGATTCCATTTGATGATTCCACTCGATTCCAATTGACAATGATTCCCTTCAATTCCATTCGATGATTCCCTTTGATTCCATTCAATGATTCCATTTGATTCCATTCAATGATGATTCTGTTCAATTCCATTTGATGATTCCATTTGATTACATTCGAGGATTCCATTCGATACCATTCAATGATCATTCCATTCGATTCCATTCAATGATTTCATTCGATTCCAATCGATGATGATTCCATTCCAGGCCATTCGATGTTTCCATTCGATTCCATTCAATGATGCTTCCATGCGATGCCATTAGATGTTTCCATTCAATTCCATTCGATGATGATGCCATTCGAGTCCATTCGATGATTCTATTCGATTCCACTCTATGATAATTCCATTTGATTCAATTCGATGATTCCTTTTGATTCCATTCGATGATGTTTCCATTCGAGTCCGTTTGATGATTGCATTCAAGTCCATTCGATGATTCCATTCGATTCCATGCAATGATGATTCTAATGAGTCCATTCGATAATTCCATTTGATTCCATTCAATGATGACTGCATTCAGTTCCATTCGATGATGATTCCAACGGACTCCATTCGATGACTCCATTCAATTCCATTCATTGATGATTTCATTCCATTCCATTCAATGATGATTCCATTCGATTCCATTCGCTGATTCCACTTGATTCCATTTGATGATGATTCCATTCGTGTCCATTCAATGATTCCATTCAATTACATTCGATGATGATTCCATTCGAGTCCATTCGA
The DNA here is from genome assembly GCF_000001405.40 of Homo sapiens. NCBI lineage: Eukaryota > Metazoa > Chordata > Mammalia > Primates > Hominidae > Homo > Homo sapiens. The sequence goes on from NW_021160024.1 coordinate 206,394, forward strand.
TGATTCCATTCAAGTCCATTCGATGTTTTCTTTCGATTCCACTCGATGTTGATTCCATTTGAGTCCATTTGATGACTAAATTTGAGTGTATTCCATGATTTCATTCGACTCCATTTGATGATGATTCCATTCGAGTCCATTCGATGATTCCATTTGATTTCATTCGATGATATTTAAATTCGATTCCATTCAATGATTCCTTTCGAGTCCATTCGCTGATTCCAATTGATTTCATTCAATGATAATTAAATTCGATTCCATTCAATGATTCCATTCAAGTCCATTCGATGATTCCATTGGAGTCCATTAAATGATTCCACTCGATTCCATTCGATGATGACTCCATTCGAGTCCATTCAATGATGATTCCATTAGATTCCATTCGATGATTCCTTTGTATTATATTCTTTGTTTTACTTTGATTCTTTTTGATGGTGATTCCATTCAATTCCATTCGATGGTTCCTTTGTATTCCATTCTTTGTTTTACTTCGATTCTTTGGATGATGATTCCATTCGATTTCATTCGATGATCCCATTCGATTCTCTTCGATGATGATTCCATTCGATTCCATTTGAAAAAAATTCCATTCGATTCCATTGGATGATGATTACATTTGATTCTATTCAATGCCGATTCTATTCGGTTCCATTCAATGATGATTCCATTCGATTTCACTCAAAGAGTCCATTCGATTCAATTCCATGATGATTCCATTCGAGACCATTAGATGATTCCATTCAATTCAATTCAATGATTATTCCATTCGAGTCCATTGAATGATTCCATTCGATGATGACTCCATTCTTGTCCATTCAATGATGATTCCATTCGATTTCTTTTGATGATTCCTTTCTATTCCATTCTTTGTTTTACTTCAATTCTTTTTGATAGTGATTCCATTTGATTCCATTCGATGATTCCTTTATATTCCATTCTTTGTTTTACTTCTATTCTTTTGATGGTGATTCCATTCGATTTCATTCGATGATCCCACTCGATTATCTTCGATGATGATTCCATTTGATTCCATTTGAAGAAAATTCCATTCGATTCCATTGGATGATGATTGCATTCAATTCTATTGGATACCGATTCTATTCGGTTCCGTTCGATGATGATTCCATTCGATTTCACTTGATGATTCCATTCGATTCCATTCGATGATGATTTCATTCGAGACCATTCGTGATTCCATTCAATTCCATTCAATGATGATTCCATTCGAGTCCATTCGATGATTCCATTCAAGGCCATTCAATGATTCCATCTGATTTCATTCGATGATGATTCCATTCGAGTCCATTCGATGATTTCATTCCATCCCATTCCTTGATGATTCCATTCAAGCCCAGTCAATGATTGCATTCGAATCCATTTGATGATTCCATTCGATTCCATTCAGTGATGATTTCATTCGATTGTTTTCAATGATTCCATTCGATTCCATTCGATGAGGATTCCAAACAATTCCATTCATTGATTCTATTCGAATCCACTCGATGATGAGTCCATTCATTTCAATTACATGATGATTCCATTCGATTCAATTCGATGGTTTTTCCATTCAATTGCATTCGATATCAATTCCATTTGATTCCATTGGATGATGATTCCATTCGAGTCCATTCGATGATAATTCCATTCGATTGCATTCGATGATTCCATTCTATTCCATTCGATGATGATTCTATTCACATCCATACGATGATTCCATTCAAGGCCATTTAATGATTCCATTGGGTTCATTTTGATGATGATTACATTGGATTCCATTCTATGATTCCATTCTATTCCATTCGATGATGATTCCATTTGATTCCATTCAATGATGGTTCCATTCGATTTCATTTGATGATTCTATTTGATTCCATTTGATGATTATTCAATTATATTACATTGGATGGTTCCATTCGATTCCATTCGATGATGACTTCACTTGATTCCATGTGATGATGTTTTCACTCGATTCCATTTGATGATGATTCCATTCGATTCCATTCGATGATGGTTCCATTGGATTGCATTTGATAATTCTATTAGATTCCATTCGGTGATGATTAATGCTATTCCATTGGATGATTCCATTCGATTCCATTCGATGATGATTCCATTCGATTGCATTTGATGATTACTTCCATCGAGTCCATTCGATGATACCATTCCATTCCATTCCATTTGATGATGATTCTATTCAATTCCATTTGATGATGATTCCATTCGATTCTATTCGATGATTATTGCATTTGATTTCATTCGATGATTCTATTTTTTTCCATTCGAAGATGATTCTATTCTATTCCATTTGATGATTCCATTCAATGCCATTCTATGATGATTCTATTCGATTCCATTTGTTGATGATTCCATTCGATTCCATTCGATAATGATTCCATTCGTGTCCATTCGATGACGATTCAATTCGATTCCATTCGATGATGATTCCATTCGAGCCCATTCGATAATTCAATGTGATTTCAGTCGATGACGATTACATTAGATTTTATTCGATCATTCCATTTGATTCCATTTGATGATATTCCATTCGAGTCCATTCGATGATTCCATTCAATTCTATTTGATGATGATTCCATTTGAATAATTCCTTTTGATTTCATTCGATAATGATTCCATTAGATTCCATTTGATGATACCATTCGATACCATTCCTTGATGATTCCATTCGTGTGCATTCAATTATACCATTTGATTCCATTTGATGATGGTTCCATTCGATTCCATTCGATGATTCCATTTGATTCCATTCGATGATGATTCCATTTGTGTCCATTCGATGATTCCATTCGAATCCTTTTGATGATTGTTTTCAATTACATTTGATGATGATTCCATTCGAATCCATTCGATGATTCCATTCAATTCCATTCGATGATGATTCCATTCGGGTCCATTAGATGATTCCATTCGATTCCATTCGATGATGATTCCATTCGAGCCCATTCGATGACTCCACTTGATTCCATACGATGATTCCATTCGATGATGACTACATTCTATTCAATTCGATGATGATTCCATTCAGATCCATTTGATGATTCCATTGGATTCCATTCGATGGTGATTCCATTCTATTCCATTCAATGATGATTCCATTCGTGTCCATTAGAAGATTCCATTCTACTCCATTCAATGATGATTCCATTGATGTCCATTTGATATTTCTATTTGAGTCCATTCAATGATTGCCTTCAATTCCATTCGATAATGATTCCATTCGATTCCATTCAATGATTCCATTCGATACTCTTCTATGATTCCAGTCAATTCAATTCGATGTTGATTCCATTTGATTTCATTCGCTGATTCTATTCGTTTCCATTTGATCATGATTCCATTCGATTCCTTTTGAAGATTCCATTTAATTACATTTGATGATGATTCCATTCGATTCCTTTCTATGATTCCATTCAATTCTATTCGATGATGATTCCATTCGAGTCCATTCAATGATTCCTTCTGATTCTATTTGATGATGATTCCATTTGAGTCCATTCAATAGTGATTAATTTCGATTCCATTCGATGATTCCATTCGATTCCATTCAATGATGATTGCATTCGATTCCATTCGATGATTCCATTCGATTCCCATTCCAAGATGATTCCATTCGATTCCATTCGATAATTCCATTCGATTCCATCTGATGATTCCAATGGAATTCATTTGATGATGATTCCATTCGAGTCCATTCAATGATGCCATTCAATTCCATTCGATGATTCCAATCGATTCCATTCAATGATGATTCCATTCAAGTCCATCCGATGACTCTATTCGATTCCATTTTATAATGATTCCATTCGAGTCTATATGAGGATTCAATTCTAGTCCTTTTGATGATTCCATTCGATTCCATTCGATGATGATTCAGTTCGAGTCCATTCGACGCTTCCCTATGAGTCCATTTGATGATTCCATTCGAGTCCAAATGATGATTCCATTCAATTCTATTCTATAATGATTCCATATGATTCCATTCAATGATGATTCCATGTGATTCCATTCAATGATGATTCCTTTGAATTCCATTAGATCATGATTCATTTCAAGTGTATTCAATGATTCCACATGATTCCATTCGTTGATGATTCCAATGGAGTCCATTTGATGATTCCATTCAATTCCATTCAATGATGATTCCATTCGATTCCATTCATTGGCTATTGCATTCAATTCCATTAAATGATTCCATTCCATTCCATTCGACAATGATTCCATTTGATTCCATTCGATGATTCCATTCAATTCTATTCAATGATGATTCCATTCGATTCCATTTGATGATATTTGCATTCAATTCCATTCAATGATTCAATTTGATTCCATTCGATGATGATTCTGATCAATTCCATTAGATGGTTCCATTTGATTCCACTTGATAATGATTCCATTCGAGTCCATTCAATGATTCCATTCGAGCCCATTCAATAATTCCTTTGGAGTCCAATCGATGATTCCATTTGTTTCCATTCAAGGATTCCATTAGATTCCATTTGATCATTCCGTTAGAGTCTGTTCAATGATGATTCCATTCGAGTCCATTCGATGATTCCATTCGAGTCCATTCGATAATTCCATTTGAATCCAATTGATGATTGCTTTCAATTCTATTCGATGATGATTCCATTAGAGTTCATTCGATGATTACATTCTATTTCATTCAATGATGATTCCATTCGTGTTCATTCGGTGATTCCACTCAATTTCATTCGATGATGATTCCTTCAGAGTCCATTCAATGATTCCATTCGATTTTATTCAATGATGATTACATTCGAGTGCATTCAATGATTCCCCTTGATTTCATTCGATGATGATTCCTTTCGAGTCCATTCAGTGATTCCATTTGATTCCATTCGATGATGATTCCATTTGAATCCATTCGACAATTACATTCAATTACATTGGATGACAATTCCATTCGAGTCCATTCGATGATTCCATTTGATTCCATTCGATGATGATTCCATTAGAGCCATTTGATGATTCTATTCAAATCCATTTGATGATTGCTTTCAGTTATATTCGATGACGATTCTATTCGAGTGCATTCAATGATTCCATTCGATTCCATTTGATGATGATTCCATTCGGGTCCATTAGATGATTCCATTCGATTCCACCCCATGAGGTTTCCATTCGAGTTCATTCCATGATTCCATTCTATTCCATTCTGCGATGATTACTTTCAAGTCCATTCAATGATTCCACTTGATTCCATACGATGATGACTACATTCAAATCAATTCGATGATTCCATACTATTCCATTGGATGATGATTCCATTCGAGTACATTAGATGATTCCATTCGATTCCATTTGATGATGATTCTATTTGTGTCCATTAGAAGATTCCATTCGATTCCATTCGATGATGATTGCATTCGATTCCATTCGATGATTCCATATGATTTCATTCAAAGATGATTCCATTTGATTCCATCCGATAATTCCATTCCATTCCATTCGATGATTCCAGTGGATACCATTTGATGATGATTCCATTCGAGTCCATTCGATGATTCCATTTAATTCCGTTCGATGATGATTCCATTTGAGTGCATTCGATGATTCCAATCAATTCCATTCGATGATGATTCCATTCGAGTCCATCCGAAGAATCTATTCGATTCCATTCTATAATGATTCCGTTTGAGTCCATTTGATGATTCGATTCTATTCCTTTTGATGATTCCATTCGATTCCGTTCGATGATGATTCCTTTCGATTCCCTTCGTTGATGATTACATTAGATTCCATGTGATGATATTTCCATTCGACTCCATTCAATGATGATTCCATTCGATTTCATTCAATGGTTCCATTCAATTCCATTCGAAGATTCCATTCGATGATGATTCCATTTGATTCCATTCGATGATTCCGTTCGATTCCATTTGATGATGAGTCATTCGATTCAATTCCATGATGATTCCATTTGATTCAATTCGATGATGTTTCCATTTGATTCCATTCTATGATGATTCCTTTGGATTCCATTAGACGATGACTCCATTCGAATCCATTTGATGATGATTCCATTCGATTTCATTCAATGCTACTATTTGATTCCATTTGATGATGATTCCATCTCATTCCCTTCAATGATTCCATTCAGTGATGATTCCTTTCTATTCCATCTGATGAGGATTTCATTTGATTCCATTTGATGATGATTCCGTCTCATTCCCTTCAATGATTCCATTCAGTGATGATTCCATTCTATTCCATCTGATGAGGATTTCATTTGATTCCATTCGATGATGATTCCATTTGAGTCCATTCGATGATTCTATTCGATTCCACTCGATGATGATTCTATTTGAGTCCATTGGATGATTCCATTCGAGTCCATTCAATTATTCCTTTCAATTCCACTTGATGATTGTTCCATTCAATTCCATTAGATGATTCCATTCCATTCCATTCGATGATGATTCCATTCGAGTCCATGTGATGATTCCATTCGATTCTATTAGATGATAATTTCATTCAAGGCCATTCGATGATTGCATTCGAGTCCATTCGATGATTCCATTCGAGTCCATTTGATAATTCCATTCGATTCCATTTAATGATGATTCAATTTGAGGCCATTCGACGTTTCCATTCGAGTCCATTCAGTGATTCCCTGTGATTACAACCGATGAGGACTCCATTCGAGTCCATTCGATGATTCCATTAGGTTCCATTCGATGATGATTCCATTCGAGTCCATTCAAAGGTTCCTTTCGAGTCTGTTCAATGATTCCATTCGATTCCACTTGATGATGATTCCTTTCGAGTCCATTCGATGATTCCTTTCGAGTGCCTTCAACGATTCCATTCAATTCCATTCGATGATGATTCCATTCGAATCCATTCAGTGATTCCATTCTGTTGCATTTGATGATTCCATTCGGTTTCATTCGATGATGATTCCATTCGATTCCATTCGAAGATTCCATTCAATGATGATTCCATTCAATTCCATTCAATGATTCCATTCGATTCCATTTGATGATGAGCCATTTGATTCAATTCCATGATGATTCCATTTGATTCAATTCGATGATGTTTCCATTCGATTCCATTCGATGATGATTCTCTTGGATTCCATTAAATGATGATTCCATTCTACTCCATTTGATGATGATTCCATTCAAGTCCGTTTGATGATGATTCCTTTCAATTTCATTCGATGCTTCTATTTGATTCCATTCGATGATGATTCCATCTCCTTCCCTTCAATGATTCCATTCGATTCCATTCAGTGATGATTCCATTCTATTCCATCTGATGAGAATTTCATTTGATTCCATTCGATGATGATTCCGTTCGAGTCCATTCGATGATTCTATTCGATTCCACTCGATGATGATTCTATTTGAGTCCATTCGATGATTCCCTTCGAGTCCATTCAATTATTCCTTTCAATTCCACTTGATGACAATTCCATGCGATTCCATTAAATGATTCCATTCCATTCCATTCGAAGATGATTCCATTCGAGTCGATGTGATGATTCCATTCGATTCTATTCGATGATAATTTCATTCGAGGCCATTCGGTGATTGCATTTAAGTCCATTTGATGATTTCATTCGTTTCCACTCGATGATGATTGCTTTCGAGTCCATTCGATGATTCCATTCGAGTCCATTCGATAATTCCATTCGATTCCATTTAATGATGATTCAATTTGAGGCCATTCGATGTTTCCATTCGAGTCCATTCAGTGAGTCCCTGTGATTACAATCAATGAGGACTCCATTCGAGTCCATTCGATGATTCCATTAGTTTCCATTCAATGATGATTTCATTCGAGTCCATTCAAAGATTCCTTTTGAGTCCGTTCGATGATTCCATTCGATTCCACTTGATGATGATTCCTTTCGAGTCCATTCAATGATTCCTTTCGAGTGCCTTCAATGATTCCATTCAATTCCATTCGATGATGATTCCATTCGAATCCTTTCAGTGATTCCATTCTGTTGCATTCAATGATACCATTTGGTTTCATACGACGATGATTCCATTCAAGTCCATTTGATTATTCCATTTGATTCCATTCGAGGACGATTCCATTCGAGTCCATTCGATGATTCCATTCGATTCCATTCCATGGTGATTCCATTAGATTCAATTCGATGATGATTCCATTCTATTCCTTTTGATGATGATTCCACTCAAGTCCATTCAATGATTCCTTTTGATTCCATTCAATGGTGATTCCATTCGATTCCATTTGATGATTCCATTCGATTCCATTTGATGATGATTCCATTCGGGTCCATTCGATTATTCCATTCAAGTACATTCAATGATTCCACTGGATTCTATTCGATGATTATTCTATTGGAGTCCATTCGGTGATTCCTTTAGATTTAACTTGCAGATGACTCCTTTCAATTCCATTCCATGATGCCATTCGATTCAATTCGTTGGTGATTCCATTCGATTTCATTTGATGATTCCATTCGATTCAATTTGATGATTCCATTCGATTCCTTTTGATGATTCCATATGATTCAATTCGATGATGTTTCCATTCATGTCCATTTGATGATTCCATTCTTTTCCATTCAATGATGATTCCATTAGAGAGCATTCGATCATTCTGTTAGAGTCCGTTCGATGATGATTCCATTTGGGTCCATTCAATGATTCCATTTGAGCCCATTCAAGAATTCCATTAGAATCCATTCAATTATTGCTTTCAATTCTGTTCCATGATGATTCCATTCGAGTGAATTCGATGATTCCATTCGAGTGAATTCGATGATGATTCCATTCTTGTCCATTCGGTGATTCCACTCAATTTCATTTGATGATGATTCCTTTCTAGTCCATTCAATGATTCCATTTGATTCCATTCGATGATGATTCCGTTGGAGTGCATTCAATGGTTCCCTTTGATTCCATTTGATGATGATTCCATTCGACTCCATTCAGTGATTCCATTTGATTCCATTCAATGATTATTCCATTCGAGTCCATTCTACGATTACATTCGATTCCATTTGATGACGATTCCACTTGAGTCCATTCGAAGATTCCATTCGAGTCCCTTCATTGATTCCATCTGATTCCATTTGATGATGATTCCATGCGAGTCCATTCGTTGATTCCATTCGATTCCATTTGATGATTCCACTGGAGTCCATTCAATTATTCCATTCAAGTCCATTTGATGATTCCATTCAATTCCATTCGATGATAATTCAATTCGAGTCCATTCAATGATGATTTCATTCGATTCCATTCGATGATTCTGCTCAATTCCATTCTATGATTCCCTTTGACTCCTTTTGTTGATGATTCCATTCCATTCCATTCAATGATTCCATTCGATTTTATTCCATGATGATTCCTTTTGATTCCATTCGATGATGATTCATTCGATTCCAATCGATGATGATTCCATCAGATTCCATTCGATGACGACTGCATTCGGTTCCATTCGATGATGATTCCAACGGATTCCATTCGATTTCTCCATTTGATTCATTTCATTGATGATTCCATTAGATTCCATTAGATGATGATGCCATTAGATTCCCTTCGATGATGATGATTCCATTCCATTCCATTTGATGACAATTCCATTCGATTCCATTCGATGATTCCACTTGATTCCATTCGATGATGATTCCATTCGTGTCCATTCAATGATTCCGTTCGATTCCGTCCGATGATGATTCCATTCAAGTCCATTCAATGATTCCATTGAAGTCCATTTGATGATTCCTTTCAATTCCATTCGATGATGATTCCATTCGAGTCAATTCGAAGATTCCATTCGATTCCATTTGATGATGATTCCATTCGTGTCCATTCAATGGTTCCATTTGATTTCATTCGATGATGATTCCATTGAATTGCATTCAATGATTCCATTCTATTCCATTCGATGATGATTCCATTCGAGTCCATTTGATGATTCCATTGGGTTCAATTCGATGATGATTAAATTGGATTCCATTCGATTTCTCCATTCGATTGCATTCGTTGATGATTCCATTCGATTCCATTCAATTTCATTCAATGATTCTATTCAATTCCATTTGATGATGATTCATTTCTATTACATTGGATGATTCTAATCAATTCCATTCGATGATGATTCCATTAGATTCCATTCGATGATGATTCCATTCAATTGCATTCAATGATGATTCCATTCGAGTGCATTCGAAGATTCCATTTGATGCCATTCGATGATGATTCCATTCGAGTCTATTTGATGATTCCTTTCAATTCCATTCAATTTTTCCCTTAGATTCCATTCATTGATGATTCTATTTGATGCCATTCGATGATTACATTCGATTTCATTTGATGATGATTCCATTCGAGTCCACTCAATGATTCCATTCGATTCCATTCGATGATGATTCCATTTGATTCCATTCAATGATGATTCCATTCGATTCCATTGGATGATGATTCCATTCGATTTCATTCGATGATTCCATTCGATTCCAATCAATGATGATTCAATTCTACTCCATTGGATGATTCCATTCCATTCCTTTTGATGATGATTCCATTCAATTCCCTTCAATGATGATTCCATTCGACTGCATTCAATGATGATTTCAATTGAGTCCATTCGAAGATTCCATTCAATTCCATTCGGTGATTATTCCATTTGAGTCCATTCGATGATTCCATTCCATTCCATTCGATGATGATTCCATTCGATTCCCTTCAATGATTCCTTTCGATTCCATTTGATGATGATTCCATTCAGGTCCATTCGATGATTCCATTAGATTGCATTTGATGATGATTCCATTCGAGTCCATTTGATGATTCCATTCGATTCCATTCGAAGATGATTCCATTAGTGTCCATTCGATGATTCCATTCAATTCCATTCGATAATGATTCCACTCGAGTCCATTCTGTAATTCCATTTGGTTCCATTCGATTAATCCCTTAGATTCCGTTCACTGATGATTCAATTCGATGCCAATCAATGGTTCCATCTGATTCCATAGAATGATGTTTCCATTCGAGTCCATTCGATGATACCATTCGATTCCACTCAATGATGATTTAATTCATGTCCATTCGATGTTTCCATTCGATTCCATTCGATGATGATTCCATTCGAGTCCATTCAATGATTCCTTTCTATTCCATGCGATGATGATTCAATTCGAAACCTTTCGATGATTCCATTCAATTCCGTTCAATGACTCTGTTCCATCCCATTCGATGATTCCCTTCGATTCCATTCGATGATCATTCCATTCAATTCTGTGATCCCTTTGGATTCCATTCTATGTTGATTCCATTCGATTCCACTCCATGATGATTCCATTCGTTTCCATGTGCTAATGATTCCATTAGATTCCATTCGAGGATTCCATGCAATTCCACTTGTTGAAGATTCTATTTGATTCCATTCAATGATTATTCCATTCGATTCCATTCGATGATGATTCCATTCGTTTCCATTCGATGATGATTGCATTCAATTTTTTTCGGTGATTCTATTTAATTCTGTTTGATGATGATTCCATTCTATTCCATTCGATGATGATTCCATTCGATTCCATTAGATGATTATTCCATTCACTTTTATCCAATGATTCTATTTGATCCCATTCAATGATGATTCCATTCTATTCCATTCGATGATTCCATTCAATTCCATTATATTATGTTTCTATTTGAATCCATTTGATGATGATTCCTTTTGATTCCATTCAATGATGATTCCATTCATGTCCATTCGATGATTCCACTCAATTCCATTCAATGATGATTCCATACGTGTCTGTTAGATCACTCCATTTGATTCCATTGGATGATGATTCCATTCGATGCCATTCCATGATTCCATTCAATTTCATTTGATGATGATTCCATTCGATTCCATTCGATGATTCCATTTGATGATGATTTCAGTCAATGCCATCCGATGATTCCATTCAATTCCATTCGATGATGATTCCATTCGAGTCCATTCAATGATTGCATTTGATTCCATTCGATGATGATTGCATTCGAGTCCATTCGATGATTCCATTTGATTTCATTCAATGATGATTCCATTCGATGACATTCGATGATTCCATTCGATGACATTCAATGATGATTTCGTTCGTGTTCATTCGATCATTCCATTTGATTCCATTTGATGATGATTCCATTTGATTCCATTTGATGATGATTCCATTCGGTTACATTTGATTATGATTCCATTGGATTCCATTCAATAATTCCAATTGATTCCATTCATTGATGATTCCGTTCAATTACATTTGATGATGGTTCCATTCAATTCCATTCATTGATGATTCCATTAGATTCCAATCGATGATGATTCCATTCGACCCCACTAGATGATGATTCCATTCAATTTCATTCGATGATTCTACTCGTTTCCATTCGATGATGATTCCATTCTATTCCATTGGATGATTCCATTCGATGCCATTCGATGATTACATTCGATTCCATTTGATGATTCCATTCGATTCCATTCAACGATGATACAATTCGATTCCATTCAATGATGATTCCATTCTTGTACATTTGATGATTCCATCTGATTGCATTCGATGATGATTACATTCAAGTACATTAGATGATTACATTTGATTTCATTTGATGATGATTCCATTAGATGCCATTCGATGATTCCATTTGATTCCATTCATTGATGATTCCATTCGAAGATTCCATTTGATTCCATTCGATGATGATTCCATTCGACTTCATTCAATGATTACCTTTGATTTCATTGGATGATGATTCCATTCGAGTCCATTCAATGATTCCATAAGATTCCATTCGATGATGATTCCATTCGATTCCATTCGATGATTCCATTCAAGTCCATTTGATGATTCCATTTAAGTACATTCGATGACACCATTCGATTTCATTCAATGGTGATTCCAATCGAGTCCATTCGATGATGATTCCATTCGAGTTCATTCAATGATTCCATTCGATGTCATTTGTTGATGATTCCATTGTATTCCATTCGATGATTCCATTCGATTCCATTTGTTGATAATTCCATTCGATTCCATTCGATGATGATTCTATTCCATTCCCTTCGTTGATGATTCCATTAGATTCCATTCGATGATGATTCCATTTGACTCCATTCGATGATGATTCCATTCGATTTCATTCTATGATTCCATTTGATACCATGAGATGATGATGCTGATCAATTCCATTCGGTGATGCCATTCGATTCCATTTGATGATTCCATTCCATTCCATTCGATAATGATTCCATTCAAGTTCATTCAATGATTCCATTCAAGCCCATTCGATAATTCCATTTGAGTCCAATTGATGATTCCATTCGTTTCCATTCAATGATTCCATTCGAGACCATTCAATCATTCCATTTGAATAAATTGGTTGATGATTCCAATTCGATTCCATTAGATGATGATTATATTAGATAAAATTTGATGATGATTCCATTCGATTCCATTCGAAGACGATTACATTAGATTCCAATCAATGATGATTCCATTCGATTCCATTCGATGATTACATTCTATTTCATTAGATGATAATTCCATTCGAGTCCATTCGATGATTGCGTTCGATTCCATTCGATGATGACTGCATTCGGTTCCATTCAATGATGATTCCAGCGGATTCCATTTGATGACTCCATTCGATTCCATTCATTGATGATTCCATTAGATTCCATTAGATGATAATGCCACTAGATTACTTTCGATGATGTTTCCATTAGATTCAATTTGATGATGATTTCATTCGATTCCATTCGATGATGATTCCATTTTCTCCATTTGATCATGATTCCATTTGATGACTCCATTCGACTCCATTCGATAATGATTCATTCTTGTCCATTTCATGATTCCATTTGATTCTATTTGATGATGATTCTATTCGATGCAATTCGATGATTCCTTTCAATTCCATTCAATGATGATTCTATTCGATTCCATTCAATGATTCCATTTGAAACCATTCGATAATGATTCCATTGGAGTCCATTCGATCATTCAATTCCATTCCATTTGATGATGATTCCATTCGAGTCCCTTCAATGATGGTTCCATTCGATTTCATTCAATGATTCCATTTGAATAGATTTGATGATGATTCCATTGGATTCCATTCGATGATTCCATTCGTTTGCATTTGATGATGATTCCATTTGAGCCCATTCAATGATTCCTTTCTATTCTATTCGAAGATGATTCCATTTGAGTCCATTTAATGGTGATTCCATTAGATTAAATTTGATGATTACAATTCGTTCCTTTAGATGATGATTATCACTCGATTCCATTTGATGATGATTTCATCCGATTCCATTCAATGATGATTCCATTTGATTCCATTTGATGATGATTCCATTCGATTCCATTCGATGATGACTCTGTTCGGTTACATTTGATGATGAATCCATTCGATTCCTTTCAATGATGATTCCATTAGATTCGATTCGATGATGATTACCTTCGATTCCATTCGATGATGATGCCATTTGATTCCATTCAATGACGATTCCATTTGATTTCAATAGATGATTCTATTTGATTCCATTTGATGATGATTCCATTCTCTTCCATTCGACGATTCCATTCAATTCCATTCGATGATGATTCTATTCAATTCCTTTTGATGATGATTACATTTGATTCCTTTTGGTGATGATTCCATTTGTGTTCATTCGATGTTTCCATTGGATTCCATTTGATGATGGTTCCATTCGAGTCCGTTAGATGATTCCATTAGTTTCCATTCGATGATGATTCCATTCGGAGCCATTCGATTATTACATTTTATTTCATTTGATGATGATTCCATTGATTTCATTTGATGATTCGATTCCATTCCATTCGATGATGATTCCATTCGAGTCCATTTGATTCCATTCAATTCCATTAGATGATGACTCCATTCAAGTCCATTTGAAGATTCAATGCAATTTCTTTCGATTAAGATTACATTCGATTCTATTTGATGATTCCATTTGATTCTATTTGATGATGATTCCATTCAAGTCCATTCGATGATTCCATTCAATTCTATTTGATGATGATTCCATTTTTGTCCATTAGATGATTCCATTCGATTTTGTTCGATGATGATTCCATTCGATTGCATTCGATGATTCCATCACTTCCTTTCTGTGATGATTAAATTCGAGTCCATTCGACACTTCCATTCGAGTCCATTTGATGATTCCATTCGAGTCCAATTTTTCATTCCATTCAATTCCATTCGATGATGATTCCATATGATTCCATTTGATGATGATTCCTTGTGATTCCATTCAATGATGATTCCATTTGAGTCCATTCGATTATTCCTTTCAATTCCATTCGATGATGATTCCATTCGATTCCATTTATTGGTGATTCCATTCATTTCCATTCATTGATTCCATTCCATTCCATTCAACAATGATTCCACTCGATTCCACTCGAGGATTCCACTCGATTAAAGTTGACGATGATTCCATTCATTTCTATTTGATGATTATGTTTGATTCTACTCAATGATGATTCCATTGGATTCCATTCGATGATGATTGCGTTTGATTCCATGAGATGATTCCATTCGATTCCATTTGATGATGATTCCATTCGATTCCATTTGATGATTCCATTGGATTCCATTTGAGGATTCCACTCGATTCCATTCGATGATGATACCATTCTAGTCCATTCAATGATTCCATTCGAGTCTATTGGATGATTCCATTCGATTCCATTCAATGATGATTCCATTAGAGTCCATTCGATGATTCCATTCAATTCCGTTCAATTCCATTTGATGATGATTCCATTAGAGTTCATTCGATGATTCCATTCGATTCCATTTGATGATGTTTCCATTCAAGTCAATTATATGATTCCATTAGAGTCCATTCGATGATTCCATTTGATTCCATTCAATTCCATTCGATGATGATTCCTTAAGAGTCCATTTGATGATACCATTCGATTCCATTCGATGATGTTTCCATGCGAGTCCATTCAATGATTTCATTCGAGTGCATTCGACGATTCTGTTCGATTCCATTCAATGATGATTCCATTCGAGTCCCTTCGTTGATTCCATTCAATTCCATTATATGATGACTGAATTCGGTTTCATTCGATGACGATTCCAATGGATTCCACTTGATTTCTCCATTCGATTCCATTCCTTGCTGATACCATTCGATTTCATTAGATGATGACTCCATTAGATTCCATTCGATGATGATTTCTTTAGATTACATTCAATGACGATTCCATTCGATTCTATTCAATGATTAATTCTGTTCAATTCAATTCGATGATTCCATTCGATTCCATTAATGATGATTCCCTTTGATTCCTGTCAATAAGGAGTCCATTCACTTCCATTCGATGTTTCCATTCGATTCCATTCGATGATGATTCCATTCATGTCCGTTAGATCATTCCATTCAAATCCATTTGATGATTCCATTCCATTCCATTCGATGATGATTCCAATCAAGTCTATTCGATGATTCCACTTGATTCCATTCAATGATGGTTCCATTCGTGTCCATTCGATAATTCAATAGGATTTCATTCGATGATGACTACAATCAATTCTATTCGATGATTCCATTAGATTCCATTTGATGATGATTCCATTTGAGTCCATTCGATGATTCCATTCAATTCTATTCGATGATGATTCCATTCGAGTCATTCGATGGTTCCATTCAAATACATTCGATGATGATTCCATTCCATTCCACTCGATGATTCCATTCTATTCCATTCGATGACGATTCCTTTTGAGTCCATTCGATGATTCCATTTGATTTCATTCGATGATTATTCCATTTCAGTCCATTTGGTGATTCCATTCAAATACATTTGATTGTTTTCGATTTTATTCAATGATGATTCCATTCGAGTCCATTCAATGATTCCTTTTGATTCCATTCTATGATGATTCCATTCGTGTCCATTAGATGATTACATTTGATTCCATTTGATGATTATTCCATTTGATTCCATTCGATGATTCCATTTGATTCCATTTTCCAATGGTTATATATGAGTCCATTCGATGATTCCACTCGATTCTATACGATGATTATTCCATTTGATTCCATTTGATGATTCCATTCTATTCCATTTGATGATGATTCCATTCGTGTACAATAGATGATTCCATTTGATTGCATTCGATGATGATTCTATTCCTGTCCATTCGATGATTCCATTTAATTCCATTCCATGATGATTCCATTCTATTCCATTCAATGATGATTCCATTCGGATCTATTTGATGATTCCATTGGATTCCATTTGATGCTGATTCCATTCTATTCCATTCAATGATGATTCCATTCGGGTCCATTCAATGATTCTATTCGATTCCATTTGATAATTCCATTCAATTCCATTTGATGATGATTCCATTCACGACCATTCGATGATTCCATTCAATTCATTCGAAGATGATTCCATTCAATTCCATTCGATGATTCCATTAGATCCCATTTGATGATGATTCCATTCGATTCCATTTGATGATGATTAAATGCAATTCCATTCGTTGATGGTTGCATTTGAATCCATTCAGTGATTGCAATCGAATCCATTCGATGATTCCTTTCGATTCCCTTCAAAGTTGATTCCATTAGAGTCCATTCCATAATTCCATTCAATTCCATTCTCTGATGATTCCATTCGAGTCCACTCGATGATTTCATTCAATTCCAGTCAAAGATGATTCCATTCGATTCCATTCCATGATGATTGCATTCGATTCCATTTGATGATTCCCTTCTATTCCATTCAAAGTTGATTCCATTCGAGTCCATTCAATAATTCCATTCGATTCCTTTCTCTGATGATTCCATTTGAGTCCATTCGATGATTCAATTCAATTCCAGTTGATGATGATTCCATGCGATTACATTCAATGATGATTCCTTTCAGGTCAATTCGATGATTATTCCATTGGATTCCATTTACTGCTTCCATTAGATTCCATTCGAGGATGATTGCATTCGTGTCCATACGATGATTCCATTTGAGTCCATTTGATGATTCCATTCGATTCCATTCGATGATGACTGCACTCGGTTCCATTCATTGATGATTCCAATGGATTCCATTTGATGACTCCATTCGATTCCATTCATTGATGATTCCATTTGATTCCTTTAGATGATGATTCCATTCAACGATGATTCCGTTTGAGTCCATTCGATGATTACATTCAATTCCATTCAAAGATTTCTTTTGATTCCACTCGATGTTGATTCCATATGAGTATATTTGATGATTCCATTTGAGTGCATTCCATGATTCCTTTCGATTCCATCTGATGATGTTTCCATTCAAGTCCATTCGATGATTCCATTTGATTTCACTCGATGATGATTCCATTTGATTCCTTTCGATGATTTCATTCGATTCCATTCAGTGATGATTCCATTCGAGTCCATTCGATGAGTCCATTCGAGTCCTTTTGATATTCCACTTTTTTCTATTCGATGATGATTCCATTGGATTCCATTTGTTGATGTTTCCATTTGATTCCATTCGATGATGATTCCATTCAATTGCATTCGATGATAATTCCATTTGATTCCATTAGATGATGATTCCATTCGATTTCATTCAATGATTCTATTTGATTCCATTCGATGATGATTCTATTCTATTTCATTCGATGATTCCATTCGATTCCATTAGATGATGATTCCATTCGATTCCATTTGATGATGACTCCATTCGATTGCATTCGATGATTATTCCATTCGTGTCCGGTCGACAATTCCATTCGATTCCATTCGATGATGATTCCATTCAAGTCCATTCGATGATTCCATTCGATTCAATTCAATGATGATTCCATTCGACTCCATTCGATAATTCCATTCGATTCCATTCAATGATTCCAATGGATTCCATTTGATGATGATTCCATTGTTGTCCATTCGATGATTCCATTCAATTCCACTGGATGATGATTCCATTCGAGTGCATTCGATGTTTCCAATCAATTCCATTCAATGATGATTCCATTCGATTCCATCCGATGACTCTATTCGATTCCATTCTATAATGATTCCCTTCGAGTCCATTTGATGATTCAATTCGAGTCCTTTCAATGATTCCATTTGATTTCATTCGATGATGATTCCGTTCGAGTCCATTCGACACTTCCCTTCGAGTCCATTTGATGATTCCATTCGAGTCCAATTGATGATTCCATTCAATTCTATTCTGTGATGTTTCCGTATGATTCCATTCGATGATGATTCCATGTGATTCCTTTCAATGATGATTCCTTTTGATTCTATTTGATTATGATTCATTTCCAGTTCATTCGACGATTCCACATGATTCCATTCGATGATGATTCCATTTGAGTCCATTCGATGATTCCTTTCGATTCCATTAGAAGATGATTCCATTCGATTCTGTTCATTGGTAATCCCATTCAATTCCATTCAATGATTCCATTCCATTCCAATCAACAATAATTCCATTTGATTCCATTCGATGATTCCATTCGATTCTATTCGATTCTATTCGATGATGATTCCATTCGATTCCATTCGATGATGATTGCCTTCAATTCCATTCGATGATTCCATTCGATTCCATTCAATGACGATTCGGTTTGATTCCATTTGAGTCAATTTGATGATTCCATTTGATTCCATTTGATGATGATTCCATTTGAGTCCATTCGATGATTCCATTCGAGTCCATTCAATGATACCATTCGAGTCCATTTGATGATTCCATTTGATGATAATTCCATTCGTGTCCATTCGATGATTCCATTCGAGTCCATTCGATAATTCCATTTGATTCCTTTCAATGAATCCATTCGATTCTATTTGATGTTTCCATTTGAGTCCATTTGTTCATTCCATTCGTGTCCATTCGATGATTCCATTCGATTCCATTTGATGATGATCCCATTGGATTCCATTCAATGATGATTCCATTCGAGTCCATTTGATGATTCCGTTTGATTCCATTAAATGATGATTCCATTTGAGTCCATTCGATGGTTCCATTCTATTCCATTCGATGAGGATTCCCTTCAAATCCATTTGATGATTTTATTCAAGTCCATTCAGTGATTGCTTTCGATTCCATTTGATGATGATTCTCTTTGATTCCATTTGATGATGATTCCATTCGATGTCATTCTATGATTCCATTCGATTCCATGCGATGTTGATTGTATTTGATTTCATTCGATTATTCTATTCGATTATTTTTGATGATGATTCCATTCGATTCCATTCAGTGATTCCAGTTGATTACATTTGATGATGATTCCTTTCTATTCTATTCGATGATTCCATTTGATTCCAATCGATGGTGATTCCATTCGAGTCCATTCAATGGTTATTCCATTTGATTCCATTAGATGATTCCATTCGATGATGATTGCATTCGATTCCATTTGATGATTCCCTTCGATTCCATTCAAAGTTGATTCCATCGAGTCCATTCAATAATTCCATTCGATTCCATTCTCTGATGATTCCATTTGAGTCCGTTCGATGATTCCATTCAATTCCAGTTGATGATGATTCCATTGGAGTCCATTCAATGATATCATTGGATTGCATGTGATGATGATTCCTTTTGAGCCCATTCGATGATGATTCCATTCGAGTCCTTTCAATGATGATTACATTCGGGTCCATTCAATGATATTTCCATTCGAGTCTATTCGATGATTCCATGGGATTCCATTTGATGGTGACTCCTTTCGGTTCCATTCGATGATGATTCTGTTTGAATCCATTTGATGATTCCTCTCGATTCCATTCGATGACTCTGTTCAATCCCATTTGATGTTTCCCTTTGATTGCCTTAGATGATCATTCCATTTGATTCAATTTGGTGATTCCATTCGATTCCATTTAATGATGATTCCATTCGATTCCATTTGATGATGATTCCGTTCAATTCCATTCGATGATGATTCCACTCAAGCCCATTCGATTATTCCATTCGAGTCCATTCGATGATTCCATTAGATTCCATTCGATGATGATTCCATTCGATGCCATTCGATGATTCCGTTCGATTCAATTCAATGATCATTCCATTCATGTTCATTCGATGATTCCTTTGGATTCCATTTAATGATGAGTCCATTCGAGTCCATTCCATGATTCCATTCAATTCCATTCACTGATGATTCCATCCGAATCCATTCGATGATTCCATTTGATTCCCTTCAATGATTCCATTTGATCCCATTTGATGATTCCCTTCGATTCCATTCGATGATCTTTCCATTCGATTCAATTCGATGATTCCATTTGATTCCATTCAATGATGATTCCATTCGATTCAATTCGATGATGTTTCCATTCGATTCCATTCGATTATGAGTCCATTCGATTCCATTTGATGATTACTCCGTTTGGTTCCATTTAATGATGATTTCATTCAGTTCCATTTGATGATGATTCCTTTAGATTCCATTAGATGATTCCATTTGATTACATTTATTGATGATTCCATTTGATTCCATTCAATGATGAATCCATTCGATTCCATTTGATGATGATTCCATGCGATTCCATTCAATGATGATTCCATTTGATTCCATTTGATGATGATTCCATTTGATTCCATTCAATGATGATTCCATTTGATTTCATTTGATGATGATTCCTTTCGAGTCCATTCGATGATGATTCCATTCATGTCCATTCGATGATGATGCTTTTTGATTCCATTCAATGATGACTCCATTCGATTCCATTTTATGAAGATTCCATTTGATTCCATTCGATGATGATTCCATTCAAGTCCATTGGATGATGATGCCTTTCGATTCCATTCAATGATGACTCCATTTGATTCCATTTGATGATGATTCCATTTGATTCCATTCGATGATAATTCCTTTCTACTCCATTCGATGATGATTCCATTCCATTCCATTCCACTACATTCCATTGCATCCGATTCCATTTCACTGCATTCCACTCCTCTCCTCTCCACTCCACTACACTCCATTGTATTCCATTCCATTCTATTGCACTGCTTTCCATTCCATTCCTTTCTTTCAAGAGTGTCTCACTCTGTCACCCATCCTGTAGCACAATGGCACAATCTCATCTCCGATTCCATTCCATTCCTCTCCATTCAATTCCATTCGATTCAATTCCATTCAATTCCATTGCATTCCATTCTATTCCATTCCTTTCCATTCCATTCGAAAAAGAAAAAGAGTTGCAAAGTCATACTCACTTTTCTGCTCTTGTCAGACAATTAAGGGTTCTTTGAATACTTCAGCCCTAATAATTTTCTTTTTATCATACATATTGCAGTGCTTATCTAATTTTAAATATCTTTTTGTTTCAACACCCAGTTTCTTATTTGTTCTATATGTATGTTTACAATATATTTTACTCTGTGTTCATTCTTTGATTTCAGAACTTCAACTTTTCTGAAGCATATTTTCAGAGTTTCTCTTTAGTTTCTTTAGTGGAATTCTGCTGGTGGCATTTTGTTTTTTGTCTCTAAATATGTTATTTAGCCATAGGTTGATGAATATTTTTCTTTGTTTGGAAATTCAGAATGGTATTATTATTCTTAACAAATAATATTATTTATTTTACCTTTCATGCTTTCAGATTTCAATATGATTAAAAGTAATTTCATTTTTCTAGTGCTAATTGAAATTTTTTTCCCTTCCTGGTTGTTTACTATTTCTCTGGGAGATACATAGGTGTAGGTTTATCTCCATTGTAGCTTGCTTAGCATGCATGGAATTCTTGAATATGCAGATTAGTGTCTTACAAGTCTAGGGAACTTTCAGCCAAAATACCATCACATATTGTCCATTCCCAGTTCCCTTGTTCTATGAGAACACTCCCTAAACACATGCTACAGTTTCTTACTGTATCTTCCATGTCTCTTCATCATTCTCTCCACATTTTACATTTTTTAAAATTTTCTGTAATGAATTCTGAAATATTTATGAACTCTCACCATGGCCATGTCTAATCTGATGAGTTCATTTTTGAGTTTTTAATTTAAAATAAGTATATTTTATACAAACTACTTTTCAAATTTGCTACATGAAATTTTTAGTCTCCTAACAATATATTCATTTTTTAAAAAATTTTTTGAAAGCAAATGTGCTTTATAATCTAACAGTGATATTTCTACTAATGAACCTTTGTGGATCTGTTTGTACTCTTTTTCTGCTTTCCTTTCAAATGGTGGAATATCATTTCCTTGCATACTTAGATGCCTTTGAATGACAAATATTTATTTTTCTCTGAAAATTATTTTTGTGCACTTTTGCGGATTAGTAAGTAGAAAATTTGCCAAAGAGAATTTAATTTTTTTGTGATTCTACTAAAGGCACCACCATTCTGGGACCACATTATGTTAATTCTTGGCCTAAAGGTGTTTGGACGTATATTTGGACTGCACATTTAAACAATTTTTAAATTAGTTGCTGTAAATCATTAACGATTGAGTTTCTTTAAATCTGTCCAATCTCAAGTCATTTTTATTTGCCATTTCCAGGGAATGTGAAATGGGACTAATTTACCTCTGATTCTTCTTTATACTGAGGATAGAAATTTTGGTCCTAGCTTTAGGGAGGAGCTCCTGTGTGATGCCCTATCTTGGGGAAAACTATGTATTTCTTTACTGTCCTATGTGATGTATGACAGTAGGAATCTGCACTCATTCATTTTGCTACATGTGCGTAGGGCAAAATCAGTTTTGGTGTTTAGTTATATTTTGTCTGCTACCTGCATTCCCATGGTTTTGATCTTATATTTTACTTTTATTTGTGAACATACCAGTGCTTCAAATTTTTTCCAGTAATATATTCAACTATATTATGAGAAAGAGAAAAATGTTGATAAAACACAAATTTCATGTTTTCCTTCTCTAATTGGCTTTTACTTAAAAATACAGGTAAAATTTATTTGTGATGTTTGCTATTTCTGTTTTGCTATTCTCTGTTTGTCTATGTCTTCTCCACATAGACATAATTAGGGAATTTTGTACACTCTTGTGCCAACTGCTTTGACAGTAACAAAATGTATTTCTCGAACTCCTAGGTATAAAATTCAAGTATCCACAATTTAAATTCTTTTTCCCTCACTTCTATTATGTTTCCAGTCTCAATAGAAATCGATGCCAATCCAGAAATACAAGCATTATTCTAATACTTCTCACACATTACAGGTATAGATTAAATTTTCTAGATCTCCTTAAATACTATCATTTTTCACTACTTGTATCTTAACTGTTGAGTTCAACATTTTCTATAATATTAATATGTTGTGAAAATTTCCTTACATTATTATTTGTCCCAAGTTCAAGGTTTTGCAGTCTCTACCTCACCCTGTGAAGCATAAACATTGTACTATGCTGTACAAATATTACATAGTTCATGTGCTTAGAGATTTCACAATTTTTATTTGGTTGACAATAGCTAATGTTTTCTTCTTCATTTTCTATTTCCTGATTTTTCCTTATTTAGTATATGCTACATTATCTTAAAAATAAGAAAGTTTTACAAACTAAAGCAAAAGAAACAGTAGGAAAAAAATGCACAAATAAAATATATAAACATACAATTAGATGTACCATGTACCCTTCAAATTTATTTAGACATTTCATTGTAGTACAATTTTAATTAAAGTCTGTGTATTGTCTGCCATCGTCTTAGTATTTTTTATATAACAAACTGTAAATCAAAAAGCCTCAACGTCATTATAAACTATCTTGGCAGAGGTTGATGTCCAAGGAATAATTTCTCTCCCAAATTATGTCAATCAGAATTTCACTCTACCATAATTCTTTTAATCAGTTTCAGAGGAAACATAAATTTCAAAATTGTTCAAGGTAGTTGTTGTTGTTCAAGTACATTTTGACAGGTGTAAAACTGTAGACAGACTGATATAAACATATTCTAATTGACACAAAAGTATATGGGACGTATTTTAAAATCTAGACTTTAAAATGTCGTATCAACGTACACATGTTCTCCTTGTGAAATAATTGCTTTTTATTCTCTGGAAAGAATAATTTAATCTTTAAACCTTCAATTCACTGTTAAAAACAAAATATTACATAAGGATATGCTTATAAAAATAATTGCAACTAGCTTTTCAATTCAGAAATATATGTGAAAAATCATCAAGCATCCAATGGATTTCAAGGAGAAATGGGTTAGTAATTTATTCCATATGTCTCAATTTTCCCTAGATTCAAGACTTCCTTTAAAATAATTGTAGGCGTTTAAGAAACCATGTAAACTAAAAAGAAGAAATTGTGACACTGCCGCTTAGGTTTTTTAAATCTTTGGACATTAATCAATATACTTTTTAATTTTATCTTACTTAGACATTGTGAGTTCACCATTTTCCTGTCAGTATAGCATCCAAGCTGATTATCATAGATCACAAGTTACACTATCAACTGTGTTCTGAGACTATAAAAAATTAAATGAATGTATTTCTTTGGGTATTCTTAAAGCAGGAGTGAGGACACAGTGAAAGTGAGACAAGGAAGAGAGAACAAAATAAAACAGGAAAGATAGAAAAGCCAGTACCACACGTGTTAAGAGGCAAGTTCCTGTGTTAGATATCTGGGCTTAATTCTATGGGAAGCTATGTGGAACATGCCTCAGAATTACATCACTGAATCCAGGGAGATTCTTCTTAGTTACCCTCACCTTTTCTTCCCACTTCATGCCCAGTATCAAGCTCCCGTGCTGCTAGAGAAAGTCCTCAGCTAGAAACAGCTGCAAATTCTGGAGATGAGAACTTGTAGAGTGTTAAGAATGGTTTTCTTCCCAGCAGCTACAGGTAAGGAATAGGGGCTGGGCTATTAATACATCTGCTACAAATCAATATACCCCTTTGCTCCTTTTGGTGATCGACAATGTATTTAAAAATATTAGATGATCAAGAAGGGCTGCAGAAAGGAGGAAACAGAAACAAACAGCACACCTCTTGGTTTATTTTTATTCATTTCATCTGTTTCAAGGAAAATGTTTTGGGAGTTCCTGGCATAGAGAATGTCACAAAGATATGTTTTCAATAGTGGTGCTATCCCTAGGGCAGAGAAGATCCAGAGAAATCCCAAGTGGCTGCTGGAACAAAGTCAGACACCGTGCCACCTGTCCACACTCCTTGGCTCTGCCATCATGCTGAAGATCGGTTTAAAGGGCTGGCTTCCCTCCCAGCAAAATTTAAAGAGCACAAACTGAGAAACTGAATATGGGAGACAGCAGTGGATTATGCTGTTCTCAGGGGTCGCCTCAGCTTTTGAAGCATTCTTTCAAATTAACCCATCTCAGGCCATCTGCAGAGAAGAAAGGTGGTACCTAACTTTTTTTCTTGTCAGCACTTGGTAGGGGTGTTTTGTTGACCAACTATGTTCCCACAACCTAGTTTTTTGAAACTAACTAAATATAGTAGATTTTTAAATTTTATCATCAAAATCTATAGACAATTTTTTATTAAAATAGGCTCCACATCTATGTCCTGCTTTTCTTCTTATTAATTACATTGCTGTATAAAAGAACAAGACTTCAGAATCAAGAATATCTTGTCTTCTGGCATTGAATTTATACAAGGTGCTCTTTCTTTAATGCTGTCTCAAAGGACATATTTTTACTCATTAAAAAGGAAGATCAGAATCTAGTTGTATGCACTGCTCCAACATATTAATAATTAAAATTAGGAGGTAAATGTGGTCAAAGCTATAGAAAGACTGAGATGTCATTTATACTGATTACTGTATAGCACTCTACAAACAGAAATTGTGAAATAATAGTTTATATAAATATTTTGTAGCATTTCAAATATTTGAGTGCCTGAAGTTTCTCCTCTTATATAGTTCAGATTATCAATTTGAAGACTTACTCCGCTGGTTAAAAGTTTTTAGTCTCGTTTGAGTATTATATAAAAGCAATTTTCAGTTAAATGTGTTCCGCTTACATAAAACATTACTAATTAGTGAGTATTTAATTACATTTTCGTGTTCTTGTAATGCCTTTAGAAGATTTTCATATTATTACCTATCAATATATGTATGCTTTGTCTAAGAAAAATCAATCATATGCATCATTGAAATTGAAACATTTTAAAAGTACATATTAATTCTATCGAAAAACCACATCCATAGGAGCAATTACAATATAATATTGTGAACATGTAAATATATATCCTGTCTATTTTATATATAAGCATATGTGATTAAAAATATAGTTAAGAATTTTTAAACCTAGTATTATAAAGTAAAAATTAGTTAAACTTCTGATGATTATTTGTTAATTAAGATAAAATTATTTTGATTTGGGTGATTTTAAATGAACAAAAATATTAAATTACATGACAAAAATTATTTATAAAATGTTTATGATTTTTACATTGGTTTTATCACTTTATTCCACTATTTTATTTTAAGATGACCTGCCTTGTTTAAAACACTGTATTCATCTTAATTTAATTAAATTTCATTTGTAAAAAAATTAACAAATGATTTGCTCTATTATACAGTGCAGTTATAAACTGAGTCAGTATCTCAAGATTTGATCCCCATTATCGTCATCCATGGCCCTATTTGTTTGATATATGTAGTGTCTTTTTCCATGCCTGTCACATCTCTATGTCTCATTTATTTTTCTCCTTGTCCCTTATAGGGAGCATTGCCTATCTCTAGATTAAGCAAAATTTGCCTCTTAAAAAAGCACAATAACCTGCTCAATCTTTCTCACACAGAGAAATGTTTGTTAAGTAATTAAAGTGTAGATGATGATACAAAGAGCTTGATTAAATAAGATGCCAAAGTACCCTTGTGATTCAGAATATGAATGGTATTTAATGCCTTTGAAATCAATAATTGCTGAGTGACATTAATTAATGCCAATATTTCAGAAGTTGTTCTGGTTAGTGAAATGTGTACAACATGTAAAAATTTCCGAACTCTGAAGGGCAACATTATTCTATAATTAAGAATTAAGAATTAATTCACATTAATTATTGGGGAGAAATAATTTTAAGAATTAATGACTGACTGAGAAAATGTTTTTATTTTTTATTTAGAAAATTATTTTGTGCATGAGCATTACTGCAAGTTTTGCAAGAAACATAAATTTATAGAAAACATTATGTGCACAAGATGATTTTAATAACATCTTGATATTTTCCACTATTAACAGTTGTATTTGGTAAATCTTTAAATACCCATCATCTAAAGATAATAAATGAATCTTGGAAATCTTGTAGGTAAGGGTAAATATAAGGATGCATCCAATTACATTTACACACACATACAATTACATTTACACAAACATACATGCACACACTCTCACTGATACAGGTATGCATATATATACATGAATTTACCAATTGATTTTAACTAATATTTATAAGAGTCTGTAGGATTGATATATATTGTTGAACCTGAAAAATATTTATTATATACCTGTTTAAAATACACAAAGAAATAAATAGTAATTGCACTAGGCATTTGAAACTGTACTTATATATAAGCTGTGAACATTTTGTGATCATTACAAATTATTACACTGAATAAATATTTTTATTTTTATAATAATATGTTTGATACATGTGTACATTTTTTTAAATGTATTATTTTTGTCATAGAGTCAGGTCATGTATAATAACGTTTCAAAGATGGATTACATATACAAAAGTGGTCCCATGAGATTATAATACATATTTTTACATACTTTTCTATGTTTAAGTATGTTTAGATACATAAACTCTTACCACTGTGTTTTTATTGCCTGCAGTATTCAGTATAGTAATGTAGTACACAGGTTTGTAGCCTAGGAGAGAGAGGTTATACCATATAACCTAAACGTGGTAGGCTGTACAAACTAGGTGTTTGTAATATTCTCTCTGACGTTTGCAAAATGATGAAATTGCCTATGGATGCATCTGTTAGAACGTATCCCTGTCATTCAGTGATTTGTGACTGTGCTAAAATGCTAAATCTAAGTTTCAATGACCTCCATAAAATTGTTGTACTGTGAAATACAAATCTCTCACCTATGGCCTGAATATGTTTGCAAACTAAGCAGATCATGGGAAGGAGAATGTGCTGGCATCGCTGGGAAGATTTTCTCACACTACATGAATAATATCTCCAGACTTTGCGAATATGAGCCACTTGCATAGAGTTAAATAAGCATCTCTTTGCTGGGAAATTTATCAAATGGGAGTATGAAGTGTTTTTAAAAGATACTTGTTTGTTTGTAGACAGTAGGCCTACAGTGGCTCATGGCAATGGTTGAGGTTGCTAAGATTTGGTGGAAGGAGGAAAAATGAAATGGCCACTTATATGGTATATGGATCACTTGTTTCTGTTGAGTTACAGATTCAGCTGGCTATTTCTCCCAATGTTAGTTATTTGGAGAAAAAAACATGATGGTAATTTTGGTGTAACAAATACAATATTTGATGAAAGCAAATTTATTGAGGGTTAGACAAACTACAAGATAATTTAGGCTGCAAAGTCAACACAAGACTTCGGGCCCAAATTGTGCAGAGTTTGGGTCCAGCTGCAAAGTTCAAAGGAAGAGGCCATATAAGATGATTCGCACTTTTGTCACCAACTGCCAGTTCAGGGGTTTCCCCAGAACACCCTCAGTTTCAAGAATTTACTAAAAAGATACACAGAACTTATTGAATGCCATTGTACTCATGGTTTATAATAGAGAAAGGGTAGAAATTAGGACCAATCAAAGGAAGAGACATATCACATAAGGTGGAATCTAGGAGGATTTTGAATAAGTTTCCATTGTCTTCAGGACATATTACCTGTCATTGTTGTACAGCAATAAACATGGAGTACTACCAACCTGGGGAGCTCACCTGATGCTAAAAAGACACTATTTTGAAAACGAAAAGACAAAGGAAAGGATGAGATAAGATGACCTTCCACATTAAGGCACTGGAAAGAATAGCAAAATAAACCTAAAAAAAGCAGAAGGAAGAAAATAAAAATTAGAGAAATTAATAATTTATAATATTAATCATATTTGTTAGTATTGACTAATTGATATTAATTCTTGACTGACTTTTTTTAAAAAGAGAAATATTCACTTCCCAATTTATTCTGTGGGGCCAGTGTTACCTTGATACAAAAATTAGTCCAAATAACATAGAAAAATAAAACTACTATAAGTATAAATGCAAAATTCCTTAAAAACTACTAACAAATCAGATCTAGCAACATATAAAAGAATTATACACTATGACAAAGTGAAATTTATACTAGTAATCTCAGGTTGGTTTAACAGCCCAAAATCCATTAAGGTAATACATCTTATTCATAGAATAAGAAACAAGAATTGCATGATCATGTCGATAGATTTGGAAAAGACATTTAATAAAATCCAAATGCTTTTACGATTAAAAATAAAAATAAAAACTCAATGAACCAGGAATAGAGAACTTTCTACACCAGATACATGGCACCTGTGAAAAGCCAACAGCAAGCATGCAACTTAATGGTAAAGGATGCTTTCCCGCTATGGTCAGAGATAAGAATAAGATATATACTTTGACCTCTTCTAGTCAACACTGTACTAAAGATTTTATGCAGGGCAAATCGGCAACTAAAAAAATAAGAGTCACCCATATTGAACAGGAAGAAATAAAACTTTATTTGAAGATAACATTCTTGTATATAGAAAATTTTAAGGAATCCACTGAACGATAGAACTAGTAAATTATTTCAGCAATATTACAGCATACAAGATAAATGTACAAAAATCAATTGCACACATCTACAATGAAAACCCCAAAATGAAATTAAGAAAACACTTCAATTTAAAATAGCATCAAAAAAAGAAATAATAATTAATTTGGAAAATGTGATACAAGATTTTACTCTGAAAATTAAAAATTATTGTTTAAAGAAGATCTAAATAATTAGCAAACATCTTACAGCCATGAATTGGAAGATTTAATATTGTAGTACTTTACAAGTTGAACTACAGATTTGACGTAATCCCTGCAAGTATTCCAACAGACTTCTGTCTAGAAACTGACAAGCTGAATCTAAAATACACGTGGGATTGTAAGGGACTCAAAATAGCCAAAATAATCTTGAAAAAAAACCATATTAGGATAATTCACACCCCTGTGCTCCAAACTTTACGGCAAAGCATCAGTAATCAAGACAACACAATACCGATGATGGAAAAATATATAGATTGATGGAAGAGAATTGAGAGTCCATATATAAAACTATGTATCTATAGTCAATGGATTCTTACAGTGGTGCCATGTGCAATTCAATGAGGAAGAGACAGTCTTTGAACAAACTAGGTCAACAACGTACACGTGGATCGCCACTTGCAAAATAATAAATTGGAACACTTATCCCAGAGCATACAAAAATATTAACTCAAATGAATTAAAGACATACATGCAAGATCTAGAATAAAGCATATGGGAAAATCTTCAGGATTTTGGATCTAGCAAAGAAATAGCTGTAACACCAAAAACATGAGCAACAAAATAAAAATTAGATATTTAAAATTTCTTAAAAATTAAAGACATTGGTGTTTCAAAGGACAACCAAGCAAGTCAAAAGGCAGCTCAAAAATTGTGAGAAAATATTTGAAAAACACATATCTATATGTCTGCATATATATGTATCTTGAATATAGAAAAATTGTTTTAATTCAGTAACAAAAATCCCAACTCAAAACTGATAAATGATAGGAATAGATGTGTATCCCAAGGAGATACACGAACGGTCAATAATCCCATAAAAAGTTACTCAACAGCATCACTCATCAGGCAACTACAAATCAGAAACACAGTTAGATACTCTATGGCTAGAACTGGCCACTTTGGAAAATAGGTTGATGGCTTCTAAATATATTAAACATAGAATTGTCATATGACCCAGAAATTTATTCCCAGGTATACACCCAGAGTATTGGAAAGAGGTGTTCAAACACAAATTGTACACAAGTATTTTTAGCAGCAGTATTTAAAATAGCCAAAGGCTGAACACAACTCAAATG
This sequence comes from Homo sapiens, assembly GCF_000001405.40. Classification (NCBI taxonomy): domain Eukaryota; kingdom Metazoa; phylum Chordata; class Mammalia; order Primates; family Hominidae; genus Homo; species Homo sapiens. The sequence continues at coordinate 238,442 of NW_021160024.1, forward strand.
TCAATAAAAATATTATTGGATAAACAAAATGTTATATCCATGAAATTGAATGTTATACAGTTATAAAAAGAAATAAAGTACCAATACGCTATGAACCTTGATAGCATTATGCCAACTGAAAGAAGCCAGGCACAAAAGACCACCTGTTGTATGATTCTATTTAGATGAAAATAGAATAGGAAAATCTACAGAGACAGAAAACAGATTTGTGGCTGCTTAGGATTGAGTAGGGGATGAGTGCATAGGAGGTTAACAGCTAGAGAAGGTGGGGTTTCTTTTTGAAGTGATGAAAATGCTCTAAAATTCATTGTGATGATGGCTCCACTTATCTGTGTATATACTAAAAGCCATTGACTTGTAGACATTAATATGTGCACTCTACAGTATGTAAATTATATCTCAATAAATCCTTTCAAAAATACACAGAAGACTAAGGGGTTTTGGAATGTTGCAGCTGGGAGGCAGTTTAAAATACTGAATAGGTCTCATCGAGAATGTGAGGTTTCAGTAAAGACTTGAGGAAGTTGAATGAGCTGAGCAATGGATATATGGAGGGCTATCTTTCCAAGCCAAGAAATTAACTAGAGTCTTGGTCATAAGACAGCAGCATGTTGGCATGTCCAGAGGACAGTGAGGTGGACAGGACCACTGGTAAGATCAAGGGTGAAGACATAAAAGAATTTTGGCAGTTAACATGCGGCAGATCATGATGGGCTTGCAGACCATTGTACGAATTGTGTCTTTTAGTGTAAATGAAATGGGGAGACAAATCATTACCCCATTATCAATATTTTAATAAATTGGATCCATGAACCAAATACAATGAGATTAAATCAATTAGTAATAATATGCAGATTTGTATTAAAATTACAAGAATTACTTGCACGTTTGAGAACAGGAGAGTCATGATTGTTTATCAGCAATAATAAACTATTAATTTTAATTGTCATCAGCTAATTGAGATTAATTGCAATACATCATGCTTTATAATGTGACTGTCAAAAGGAAAATATGATTGTAATCTTATACTACATCTATCAATGTCTTTGATTCATAGGACTATAGAATAAGCCCCTAGTTTTCAAAGCCAACTGATGAGGCAGTGACATCTTATGCAAGTTTGCTGCTTTCTGCCACAGTGATCCTTGGTCAGCTGGCACAAATTGTTTTACAAACACCACTAGGTCTAAAAAAAGTTTGGATCACAATGAACACAGAAACACCTTCATCCCTTCAGAAATACCTATCAATTACTTCCAATACAGAATGAAAAATTGACAACGGAAGTATGTTGATTGTAAAAATGCCAGATAGCTTGCATCTACATGAAAGAAAAATGCCATTTTTATTACAATAGATCATGGTTTTACATGAGTTTTGGAATAGCACAATGTTGAACCAAGGGCAAAGAAAGATGAATTAATGAAGTCTTAAGATGTCAAGAATTTGAAAGAAAAGGAAGGTCATCTTTGAAGGTTAGTGACATAGCATTCATCTTCCGTTGTCACCTTTTCCATCATTCCCTGTATGCCTGATGGACAGCTTTCACTCAAGTTCAGAGAACAGCATGCAAAGATTAGCTACCAACAAATTTTTATGAAGTGAGCTTAATTTCTAACCAGACTGAGCTTATGTTTTAGCAGGAAGCATTTTTGGGAAATGTTTAAGTTAGAGTTTGCCCTTCTTGACAAGGTGAGACATAAATGTCTACTTTATAGACATGAATTAAGATGGGAAGATATTTGGGGGAAGCATTTTCTCAAATGCTAAATAACAAAGGTACACAAAGGGGAAATTATACTAGATTTATTTCCCACTTGTTTTCTATGTCTCATCCAATTCATCTTGATTCCCTTCAGTTTCTGTTTAATGTAGAAAGTGGCATTTTCATTATTTTAAGCTTCTACCACAATGAAAGAATTTCTCTTTTTCATGAACTCATCATAAATGAAAGGGAGGAAGAGTGTCCAATATCATATTTATTGTTCAACAAAACACTGCTCCACGGCTTAAATTCAGTTTAAAAAAGAGAATTTATTGAACATCTAACACATACATAAAAGGCAGTAAAGACAAATGAGAAGAGGGCAGGATATTGAAGTATACAGACTTTAATGCTGAGTTCTGTATCTTAGTAAGTTACTGCACCTTACAGAGACTCAGTTTCGCCTGATTTAGGAAGGCGATGCTAATGGGTATTGCATAGGTGTAAGTATAAAAATGTTGTAATTAAGAGAATCCCACAAGCTTGGTATAAGGCAGAAAATAAATAGATGTGACATTAATGAGTAGTTTATTACATTTGTATGCTACCTGCAGACTAGAGGAAGCAAGAAACACAGCCACTATGCTTGATTAGCATTGTATTCTAATTTGGAATATAAATAGAAAAGAGAAAAATAGAAAGCTATGCATAAACACATGCATTAAAATGAATTTTATGTGGACTCTTTCAGGAAAATGTTCTTAAGGTATTTTATTTTTTTATTGTGGTAAAATACACATAACGTAAAATGTACTCTGTTAACCATTTTAAGTGTACTGTTCAGTGGTACCAGAGTCATAACATTGTGCAGCCATCCCTACCATCCATATCCATAACTCGTTTCATCTTGTGAAACTGAAACCCTATACCCATTAAATAGTACTTCCCCATGTCTTCCTCCCCCCAGCTTCTGGCAATCATCATTTTACTATCTCTATGATTCTGTCCACTTTAAGTCTCTTATACAAATGGAATTATACTGTATTTGTCCTTCACTGACTAACATTTAATTTGGCATAATATCCTCAAGTTTCATCCAAGTTGCAACATATGTCAGAATATTTCCCTCATGTTTAAGGCTGAATAATTTTCCATTGTATGTATACTTCATGTTTTGCTTATCCATTCATCTGTTGTTGGACACTTCAATTGCTTCTATATTTTAGCTATTGCCAATAATGCTGTTGCAAACATGGATGTGCAAATATTTTTTCAAGACTCTGCTTTCAATTCTTTTGCTATCTTGAGATGTGGGGCTGCTGAATCATAAGGCAATACCATTTTGATGTTTTGAGGAAATATCATACTCTTTTCCACAGCAAACATAGGGTTTGGCATTCCCTCCAATATTGCAAAAGGAATCGCCACATCTTTGCCTGTGGATTTTATTCACAAGTCCTGTGGCTCTCTCTACATCCCGGCCACCATGTGTTATTTCCTGTTTATATATATGACATCAAAGGTGCAGGAAGTAATGAACTAAATTGGAAGGATAAACATGTAGAAAAATAGAGGTAAATACTGACTACATAAAACCATAAGAATAAGAATTTTGGATGATCTATCTACTATATATCTATTTATCTAACATCTATATGTTCCTCCATCTGTAATTAAAATATATTACAGTTAGAGAACAGAGAAAAAAATAGGAATACATGAATTTAAATTTTATTTCTTCTTAGATTGTCTCACAGCATCATTATATGACAGAAAATTTATAGGTCAGTATCTGTTAACTATAAATGTAATATTCTTAAAGTATTCAAATACATTGAATTACAGCATGAATAATATATTACAATCCATTCAAGTTTATTTTATTCCAGGAACACAAAAATACAAATTTCATTTGCAATTCAAGAAAAACAGAAATCGATACATATGATTGATGTATATACACATTTAATGTATTTTTAAATATACATTTTTAAAAATAGAAATTTTTCTAGGACAACTACTTAAAATATCACTGAAAATAGTGTTATTAGATAATACCTTCCTAATAACTCTGGTATTTCATAAGAAAACAAAATTAAAATTTCAGATAAGCTTAGAAACTAAAAATTTTAAAAATATTATTCTGTTCTCCATATGTTCATATTTAATATTATTTCTTGTTTTCATTCTTCTTCAGTGTTGCTCTACTAAAATATAACATACTATAGTTACTTTTTATTTCTGTTCTTATTACTCAAAATTGTATACATTTTCTCATGCTCTTAATTTAGCTATGCTACTTTTCTTTACTCCTGGAATTTTCACATTTGTATTCACGCTCTTTTGAGTTCCCATAGTACCAAATAAGCTTTTTTCCCTCTTTCTGATTTGAAGGTTCATCTTCTCATAATTATTTTGTCCACTCAGTTTCTTTTCATTCTCAGTTAAGTGCCTCTCATCTGGCTTCTTTTCATTTGTAAGGTTTCCTTTCATCTTAAGCCAGTCTTTTATTTATATTTTGATTCTGTTTTGTGGAGGACATATTTCCCTGAATTTTAAGGAAGAGGTCAAAAAGTTTGTTCAAGTTTTTACCTGATACATTGGATTAAATTATCTAATGTACAGACCTTAATTTAAGTCTAGGGGCGACTGTCTACTCTCGGTTTTGTATAGTATTATTTTTATTAACATCCAAGTCCATCTTCATCTATTTGTATATGATCAATAAAAATATATTTGTCCAGAACCCTGCTTTGGTGGAGTTACTTCTTTCTAAGTAGGAGAGGTAGCAGTTGAGACATGAGCTGGGTTCTGGGTCAGTTTAGAGAGCTGGGCGACATTCCTCCTTTTGCTCTGTATGACTGAATGAATGCGGTTCTTGCTGTCTCGCTCCTCTCCTTAACACATTGAGCCATTGCAGCAGATGAGAAGGAATAATCCTGATCTGCCATTCAGGTGGAACACATGTTCTCTCCAACCACATCCATAGGTTGTACTCACACTCGGCCAAAATGTATCCTGTCAATGATATGGAGATGTATCTAGCTATCTAGATAGATATCTACTTTGGTTTATGCTCTCTGGTTGCCCGTAAATTATCTCCTTAAAGTGAATATCAAAAGAGAGCTTGGTGATGGCAGTGTTATAAAATCCTCAAAATGCAGCACCCACACCCAGAGGAATTTGTAGATTCTGGGATTCTAATTCAGATACCAAACTATATAAAAGGGGCATTGGTCATTGAGGGTTGCTAGGCTCTTTGTGGAACATATTTGCTCTTTTCATGACTTTGAAATTATTTTAAAAATCTAACCATGTTCTCAGTGTCCTGCAAGATGATCTGATTTTAATGCCCAAGCATTAATTCTCACCTAAGATTTGTACAATATATTTGCTCTGACAAGCCATAGCCAGCAACTCACTTCACAGCAATTTATAGCATTTCCACGACAAGTTGAATTATTTTTAACTAGACTCTCTTTGTCTTAATAAAAATATGAAGAAGCAATATACTTGTTCTAGTTAGGTTCAAAAGTTGGCAGTCTCTCTGCTGGAAAGAATAATAAAACTTTTCAGCAGCCTAATATGCATCTATAGACACACACACACACACACACACACACACACACAGGCACTATTCATAATATTTAAAGCACATTCTGTTCTATGACTTCATTTGTCTAGCACAAAATAAAACGATCTTAGTATATGTCAAGTACCAATTTTTTCGTATGGCCAATTATAGATATTTTACTTTTTAAAGATTAAAGTGTTCTTGAAGCTCTTTCTATTTCTTTGTCAATGAACTAAACATTGGCAAATATGTAGGGTTTCCCACATAAGAACATTATTAACATCAAAATAGAAAGCTGGTGGTAGAAATAATGATTGGGAACACAGGGTCTCTACTCAGCATTCTACTTCTGCCATACCATAACTTTGTGATCTCAAGAAATATCTCTCCATGTTGTCATCCCTATGTATAGTTCTGTCATTTTTCAATAAGAGCTTTTTGCTTAATTATGAAGTACTAGTTACTATAACCATTATTTTGAGCTTCATGTAAATCAAGAACACATGGACTCCACTTGCAAAACATCGAAAATGTAGTTAGGGATTGGGGGCATAAAGCAACATTTTAAAATGTGTAAAGACCATGAGTAAGCAACAAAGTGTCCAATTTTTTACGGGAAAGTTGCATACGTCAGGAAAAGTCAGGATTAAGTAACAGAGAATTTGAATGATAACTGGCCAATTGGTGTAATTTACAATTGCAAGTCATACAAATGAAGTTTGCTTTTTTAAAGAGAAAAGGAGTTAGTTAGAATGGGTCAACCTATTGGGGAAGCAATGTAGTTAGAGACAATGCCCAAAACCATGTGAGCAAATGCTTTGTAGAGCGCACCCCTGCAATGCTGCCATTGTGAGGCCAAATCTCTCCTCGTCTTGGTACTGAGCCCTCCGTTCTGCCTCCATCATTGCCACCGTAGCTGCCACAAAATGATCCCTCAACCACAGCTGCCCAGGAACAAAGAAACAATTCTGTCCTTCCGCGATCTCAGATCAATTTCCAACATCAGGTGAGCCTTTGATGGGCACTATTCATTTCCCATATCCCTGAAATAGATGCCGTAAAAACACAGAAATTCCCTATGTGTTTCCCAATAAGACACATATGGAAGCCTGTTTTCCCACAACAGGAAGGGGTTTCCACGATGGGTGTTCAAAGGAACAATATTCCCTGTAAACCATACTTTGCCCATATGAAGAAAAGCAAAAAGATTATTTAGTAAATAGACATGGAACCTCATCCAGGGTTGGCTGATGAGAAGCTGGTTAGCAAGGGGGTCTGCCTTCAGTTAGGACAAGGTCTGTGCTTCCCACGGGTTCTCTCCACAGCAGGAGGGATGCAAACTTCCCTTTCCTCCCCTGCACCTACCCTCAAATGGCCCAGAGGTCTTCAGGTGCTAGAATTTCTCAATTAATGCTGCACAAAATAACAGACAGCCTTGACTGTCACAGTCTGTTTTCATGAAGCTAGTCTCTGCTTACTACATAAAACAGAAGAGTAAGAACAAAGGTGTTAAACACTACCCTAGCTCAAACAAGTTTCTCTCTGTAGGATGCCAAGAACCTGGGAACCAGTGCATCTGCTGCTTTCCCTTCTCGGATTCTAGCCCAGACAAAAGAGGCAAGGGGCATTTCTCCAGAGGCCTTGAGCTTCACTACACAATGCCCCAGGCTCTGCATGCACCCTCTTTATATATTTCTACCTTGAAAAAAATTTTTATATAATATTAATAATATATGTGTTTATATAAGAAACACACGTTTATTTTATAGATAGATATAGATATACATAGATGAAGATCTCTAGTCAGCCTTTTTTAAGGCTGGGCTGATCGCGGTGCCTCAAAACTATAATCCCAGCACTTTGGGAGGCCAAGGTGGCCAGATCTCTTGAGTCTAGGGGTTGGAGATCAGCCAGGGCAACATGGTGAAAACCCATCTTCACAAAAATTAGCTAGTATGGTGTCATGCACCTGCAGTCCCTGCTACTCAGGAGACTGAGGTGGGAGAATCGCTTGAGCACAGTATGTGAAGGCCTCAGTGAGCTCTGATCACATGACTGCACTCCATCTTGGGTGACAAAGTGAGACCCTCTCTCAAAATAAAATAAAATAAAAAGGCTACCACCATACTCACAGATAAGTGTGTCAGGTATATTTGCAGCTATCTTTCCTATATTCTATTTGGTAAAAAAAAAAAAAAGAAAATTGCGAAGAACTCTTCTCATTCTAGATTTTGTATTAATTAGACATTTGAAGTTTATAGCAGAAGAGCTATAATCATGTTTGGTATGTGTACCCTATAGACCAGATAGTGCAAACAGATATCAATGCTTTTTAAAAGTATATAACGTTATTAGAAATATTTTAAACTACCTATAGGTATATATGTATCTAATTGAGCTATCAAATGCAAGTAAGATCATTTCCTTAGCGTGTGAAATGCACTCAATTTATTAAAATATTTTCTAATATCTATTACAGTAATATTTCCTAATTATCTAACATAAGAGGAGTTTTAAGACATTTATTTATATGTACTTACTAGATTCAAACTCGATTCCACTATTTTCAGAAATCATGCTCTGAGACAAGTCCTTTTTTTATCTAACTATGTTTCTACCTATATTAAAAGACAGATATGTCAATTTTGCTAATCATGCTATTCCAAACCTCCCCATCCTATTTTTCGGATTGTTCTACCAGTCATTCAGAGACTTACTTATATTCAAATTTCTCTCTAGGTTTAACATTCGTGTATGTCTTCTTGTGTTTTTGTCTATTTTTGCTGTATATAATTTAAGACATTTATTGACATATATCATACATGTAGAAAAGTACAATAATTAAATATGGATAGCTTCATTAATGAAACACATGTATTTGCTTATAACCATGTATGAAAATAGAACATTACTAAAAATAGAGATACTTCTCCTGCCCCTTTCCAAACACTAACCCTCATCCTCAATAGTAACAGATTTTTTTTTATCATAGAGTAATTTGGTCTATTTTCAAATTTTTATTAAATAAATCAGAGTATCTACTCTAAGTCTATGTTTCTTTCATTGTTGTTATTTTGCTTATGGTATTTATCTGCTAATGGACATGGTAGATTAAAGACGGCTACATACACATTTTTTAATTAATAGATTTTTTGAGCACTTTGTGGATCATGCCTCTGATCCCACCAATTTGGGAGGCTGAGGTGCGTGGATCATGAGGTCAGGAGATAGAGACCATCCTGGCCAACGTGGTAAAACCCCTTCTCTACTAAAATACAAAAAATTAGCTGATAGATAACATCAAGATAACATCTGGGTTCTTAGCTGCACTGAGTCAAGCCTACTTACATCTTTGTTTGTCTTCCTCTGCACTTTTCCTTCCACATCACACTCCAGGAATGCCAAGCAGTGCTGGCCTTCTACCCCATTTCCACTATTTTGCCCCCGCCGACGTGGCTTTTTGCCGCCATGGATTTTTGCCCCCGTCGCTGCGGGTTTTTGCGGCTTTATGCCTCCGCCGCCGCAACTTTTTGCCCCGGCCGCCGTTGCTTTCTGCCCCCGCCGCCGCGGTTTTCTGCCCCCGGCCTCGCGGAATTTAGCCCCTGCCGCCGCGGCTTTTTGCGTCTTTCTCCCCCCGCCGCCGCGGCTTTTGCCCCGAAGACACGGCTTTTTGTCCTCGCCGCCGTGGCTTTTTGTGGCTTTTTCCCCTGCTGCCGCAGCTTTTTGCCCCCGCCACCGCGAATTTTTCCGCCGCGGCTTTTTGCCACCGCCGCCGAGGCTTTTTATGGCTTTTGGCCCCGGCGCCGCGGTTTTTTACTGCTTTTCGCCCGTGCCGCCGCAGGTTTTTCCCGCCGCGGCTTCTTGCCCCGCCGCCCGGGCTTTTTGCAGCTTTTTGCCCACGCCGCCGCGGCTTTTTGCTTCTATTTGCCCCGCCACAGCAGCGTTTTGCCCCCGCCGCCGTGGCTCCTTGCCCCCTGCGCGGCTTCCTGTCACATGAAGTCTAAACACAGCGGCTTTTTATCACCCCAGCCGCTTTTTGCCCCCGCCGCCGCGGGTTTTGCTGCCGCGGCTAATTGCCCCACTCGCCGTGGCTTTTCGCCCCCGCCGCCACGGCTTTTTGCCCCTGCCGCCAAGGGTTTTTGCGGCTTCATGTCCCCGACGTCGTGGCTTTTTGCCGCCGTTGCTTTTTGCCCCCTCTGCCGCGGCTTTTTGCGGCTTTTTACCCCCTCCGCCGCGGCTTTTTGCTGCTTTAGGCACCCGACGCTGCGGCTTTTGGGGGCTTTTTGCCCTCGTCGCCGTGGCTTTTTGCCCTCGCCGCACCGTTTTGCCCTCGCCGCCGCATCTTTTTGCCGCCGCGGCTTCTTACTCCGCCACCGTGGCTTTTGCCCACGCCGTCGCGGCTTTTTGCCCCCGACGCTGTGGCTTTTTACAGCTTTTTGCTCCCGTCACCGCAGCTTTTTGCCCCGGCCGCCGCAGCTTTTTGTCACCGCGGCTGTTTGCCCCGGCCGCCGCGGCTTGTTGCCCCCGCCGCCGCCGCTTGTTGCCCCCGTCGCCCTGGCTTTTTCCCTCACCGTCCCGGCTTTTTGCCCCACCATTGCGGCTTTTTGCGCCCGCTGCAGGGCTTTTTGCCCCCGCCGCCGTGGCTTTTTGCCCCCGCCGCCGCGGCTTTTTGCCCCCATCACCGCGGCTTTTTACCCGCCGCCGCGGCTTTTTACTCCCGCCGCCACAGGTTTTTACCGCTACGGCTTTTTCACCCCGCCATCGCGGGTTTTTCCCCCACCGCCGCGGCTTTTTGCCCCCACTGCCGCGGGTCTGAGGAGGGGATCCGCAGACTCGGCTGCCAGATCTACCAGCGTCCTGGCTAAGGCAGCGCCGAGGGTCGCTCCTGGTCCAGCTCCCCGGTTCGGAAGTTCCTTACCTAGACACCCGCGCCCCAGGCTCCGCTCCTGGGCCGCTGCCGCCTGCATACAGCAGCGCTGTGCTCGGCCCCGATGGGAGAGAAGAAGGAGAGTGGTGGCGGGGGTGACGCGGCTATCGCGAAGGGAGGCGCAGGGGCCGCGGCCAGCCGGGTGCTGCAGCAGTGCGGGCAGCTCCAGAAGCTCATCGGCATCTCCCTTGGCAGCCTGCGCGGGCTGCGCACCAAGTGCGCTGTGTCCAAGGACCTCACCCAGCAGGAGACATGGACCGTGGAGGTAAGGGGGTCAGGGACCAGGACTGGGCTCCAGCACCGGACTGGACATCTCCCTCGGGGCCCCAGTTCACTCCTGGCCGAGTTGCATCCTTGAGCCCGCGTCACCCCTTGGAGGCTTCTCCTCCCTCCTGCAATCGCTGATGCGGCAGCCGGAGGACCCGGGACCAGCCATCACCTTGGGCGGGATTTGTGGGTGGGTGCGTGTTGGGAACTGTGATGAGGCTCGAGGGGCCCGTGGGCGGTGTGGGCTTCGCGCGGACATCCCCTTACGCCCCGAATTTCCATCTGGTGCAGACTTCTCATCTTGTAGGCGAAGAAACCGAAGGCCTGAGGGAGAAATGACTTGCCAGGAACCCCTGTTAAGAAAAATTAACAAAGTGTGGTTATCAAAGGAGAACTGAGTTAGGATTCAGACCTGGAGTCTCACACCCTTGGTTAAGACATTATACCACCTTGAGTCTGGCCTGTTGACTGAGGGTGAGCCACTCCATCCTTGTCTGATTGTAGGGTCTTGACCTCAAGGGGTTTCCTGCAGGAAGAAGCAAATGGGTTTGCTTTCCTAGCTCTGTCCAGTACCTTAGGGACCCTGAGAACTGGAGAGATTCTTGGAGAGCCATCTGGTGTATGTCATGGGTGGGCCTTGTTTGAAGGTCAGTCTGCGCGTGGGCTGGCTCAGCCCGAATGAACTCTCTTGAATCTTTGGAGTTGTCTGTGTACTTTTAAGGGTTTCTCATCCTTGCACCAAAAGATCCCCTGGAAATTAGGTGGGAAAACCTTAACTTTTGTGGAGCCTTGTATTTGTCTTAAAAGTTCATGCACATAGCCAGGTGTGGTGGCTCACACCTGTTATCCTGTCCTGGATCCCTTGAGTCAAGGAGTTTGAGACCAACCTGCACAATATAGTGAGACCCCATCTTTACAAAAAATAAAATATTAGCCAGGAGTGGTTGTGCCATCTGTAGTCCTAGCTACTACTGTGGCTGAGGCAGGAGGAGCACTTGATCCTGCACTGAGCTGTGATCTCACCAGTGTACTCCAGCCTGGGCCACAGAGCAACACCTTGACTCAAAAAAAAAAAAACCAACAAGAAAAATTCTTGAAGATTTTTCATTCTGTCCCACTATCCATTTGTTTTCATGTCAAGATAATGTCAGAAATTCTTTACAATTGCTTCCAGAAGGAGTAGCCTTTGATCTAATGCACAGGTGTCCAGTCTTTGGCTTCTCAGGGCCACATTGGAAGAAGAATGCTCCTGGGCCACAGATAAATACACTACTGCTAACAATAGCTGATGAGCTTAAAAAAAAAGGTTTGTGCATAATTTTCATGATACCCACCACCACAGATAGGCGGAAAAGTCCTTGTAGTCAAAGGGTTGGACACGGCTGATCTAGTTTCTTGTCGTCCGTTTTGTCTTTCTCCCTGATTCCAGAATGCAGATAGAGATGTAGAGACATGCTCTCAGGACAGCTGTTGAGATAAAAAAATTCGTTGTCATTTATTCCCAAGGACAGCTGTTTGTCATTTGCATTGAAAAAGTCTCCATTCAAACTGCTGTCACATATAAAATCTACTTATATGTCTGTATTTTTCTGTTGTCTTGGCCTTTGTGGGCAGTAGTGTGTTTTAACTGAGCAAACTGTCCTTCCAAATAATGAAGCCGAAGTCAGCCTACCTGCTTGCCATTTTTCTTCCCCTTCCATTTTTCTAACCTCAGGATGATTGTAAGAATGAATTAAGATTTGTGTTTAAGGCCGGGCACAGTGTCTCAGGCCTGTAATCTCAGCACTTTGGGAGGTGGAGACGGATGTATCGTTTGATCTCAGGAGTTGAAGACCAGCCTGGGCAACATACTGAGACTCCGTCTTGTATAATTAAATTAAAATTTAAAAAAAGGAGAGAAAAGACCTGTGTTTAAAATTTTAAAAAAGGGGCGAAGGTGTAATGCAAAATGTGGACTATGCTAGCTATGATTGGGAAAAATAATTTTTCATACAGCATTATCTGTTGACTTGTATTAGCACCATACTGGTCATAAGCTTTCTGCTTTCATCAAATATGATGAGGTAAGCTACTTTAAAGTGTGGTGGGTCTTTCTTCCGCATGGCTCCTGGAGGTGTTGAGTCCCAATTTAGCCAATTAATTTGGGTTTAGTTTTGATATGGATAAGGGAGACCAGCTTCATTCATGATGCACACACAGTTTTGCCAGTAAGGAAAAAAAAAGCAACCTGAATGTTCCTGCTCATTAGATGCTATCTGGAGAGCTCCTACCCCACCACCACAAAGGCCCTGGCCCTTAAAAGACTCAATGCAGCCTTTCTGCATCTCATACTGTATTCTGCAAGATGCTCCTGTGAAAGAAAGTTGTGCTGCATCAGCCATCTCCCTCCTGAAGATCCCTGCGGATGAGGATTTGTGTTTTAAAGGTTGTCAGAAGTCCTGCCACAACAGTTCTCAAACTTATATGTCCAGGGGATCTTTCTTCCACTGAACATAGTTGGGGAGTCATGGCCTTAAGCCTTGAGCAGAGAAAGAGACAAGAAACTGTTGGCTCACTTACAACCAAGTGTTGTGTTTATGTTTTAGGTTTCTATGAAACTGAGGTGCTGTTTGAGGTTCTGAATCAAATTGGGTGGTTGAAAAGAGGCTGGTATCCCTGTAGACGTTGCCAGCCATGAGAGGTTGACTTTTGTTGAAGGAGGTGTTTACAAAGGGAAATAGGGTGTTTCCCGGGCATCACATTAGCACTTAAATACATGTATCACTGAAATGAAATGAAATGATGAAATGATGGCATGAAATGAAATGAAATGATGAAACGAAATGATGAAATGAGGAAATGAAATGAAATGAAATGATAAATGATGAAATGAAATGATAAAATGATGAAATGAAATGAGATGAAATGAAATGGTGAAATGATGAAATGCTGAAATGAAATGAAATGATGAAATGAAATGATGAGATGAAATGAAATGATGAAATGATGAAATGGAATGATGAAATGAAATGAAACGACGAAATGAAATGGTACAATGAAATGAGCAAATGAAATGAAATGCTGAAAGGAAATGATGAAGTGAAATGGTGAAATGAAATGAAATGAAGAAATGGTATGAAATGATGAAAGGAAGAAATGGTATGAAATGATGAAATGAAATGATGAAATGAAGTGAAATGATGAAATGATGAAATAATGAAATGAGGGGTGGAGCCAAGATGGCCAAATAGGAAAAGCTCTGGTCTACAGCTCCCAGCGTGAGCGATGCAGCAGATGGGTGATTTCTGCATTTCCATCTGAGGTACTGGGTTCATCTCACTAAGGGAGCGCCAAACAATGGGTACAGGACAGTGAGTGTAGCCCACCGTGTGGGAGCCGAAGCAGGGCGAGGCATTGCCTAACTCAGGAAGCACAAGGGGTCTGGGAGTTCCCTTTCCTAGTCAAAGAAAGGGGTGACAGACGGCACCTGGAAATTCGGGTCACTCTCACCCTAATACTGCACTTTTCCAACAGGCTTGGAAAACGGCACACCAGGAGATTGTGTCCTGCACCTGGCACAGAGGGTCTTATGCCAATGGAGTCTTGCTGATTGCTAGCACGGCACTCTGAGATCAAACTGCAGGGCGGCAGCGAGGCTGGGGGAGTGGGGCCCACCATAGCCCTGGCTTTCTTAGGTAAACAAAGCAGCCAGGCAGCTGGAACTGGGTGGAGCCCACAACAGCTCCAGGAGGCCTGCCTGCCTCTGTAGGCTCCACCTCTGGGGGCAGGGCACAGACACACAAAAAGTCAGCAGTAACCTCTGCAGACTTAAATGTCCCTGTCTGACAGCTTTGAAGAGAGGAGTGGTTCTCCCAGCACACAACTGGAGATCTGAGACTGGGCAGTCTGCCTCCTAAAGTGGGCCACTGAACCCCGAGCAGCCTAACTGGGAGGCACCCCCCTGTAGGGACAGACTGACACCTCACTCGGCCGGGTAGTCCTCTGAGACCAAACTTCCAGAGGAATGATCAGACAGCTGAATTTGTGGTTCACGAAAATCCGCTGTTCTGCAGCAACTGCTGCTGATACCCAGGCAAACAGGGTCTGGCGTGGACCTCTAGTAAACTCCAACAGACCTGCAACTGAGGGTCATGTCTGTTAGAAGGAAAACTAACAAGCAGAAAGGACACCCACACCAAAAACCCATCTGTACATCACCATCATCAAAGACCAAAAGTTGATAAAACCACAAAGATGGGGAGAAAACAGAGCAGAAAAACTGGAAACTCTAAAAAGCAGAGTGCCTCTCCTTCTCCAAAGGAACGCAGTTCCTCACCAGCAACGGAACAAAACTGGACAGAGAATAACTTTGACGATTTGAGAGAAGAAGGCTTCAGATGATCAAACTACTGCGAGCTACAGGAGGAAATTCAAAACCAATAGCAAAGAAGTTAAAAACTTTGAAAAACAATTAAACGACTGTATAACTGGAATAACCAATGCAGAGAAATGCTTAAAGGATCTGATGGAGCTGAAAACCAAGTTTCAAGAACTACGTGAAGAAGGCAGAAGCCTCAGGAGCCGATGCAATCAACTGGAAGAAAGGGTATTAGTGATGGAAGATGAAATGAATGAAATGAAAGGAGAAGGGAAGTTTAGAGAAAAAAGAATAAAAAGAAACGAACAAAGCCTCCAGGAATTATGGGACTATGTGAAAAGACCAAACCTATGTCTGATTGGTGTACCTGAAAGTGACGGGGAGAATGGAACTAAGTTGGAAAACACTCTGCAAGATATTATCCAGGAGGACTTCCCCAATCTAGCAAGGCAGGCCAACATTCAGATTCAGGAAACACAGAGAACGCCACAAAGATACTCCTCAAGAAGAGAAACTCCAAGACACATAATTGTCAAATTCACCAAAGTTGAAATGAAGGAAAAAATGTTAAGGGCAGCCAGAGAGAAACGTCGGGTTACCCACAAAGGGAAGCACATCAGACTAACAGCTGATCTCTTGGCAGAAACTCTTCAAGCCAGAAGAGAGTGGGGACCAATACTCAACATTCTTAAAGAAAAGAATTTTCAACCCAGAATTTCATATCCAGCCAAACTAAGCTTCATAAGTGAAGGAGAAATAAAATACTTTACAGACAAGCAAATGCTGAGAGATTTGCTTGCTCTAAAAGAGCTCCTGAAGGAAGCACTAAACATGGAAAGGAACAACTGGTACCAGCCACGGCAAAAACATGCCAAAATGTAAAGACCATTGAGACTAGGAAGAAACTGCATCAACTAACGAGCAAAATAACCAGCTAACATCATAATGACAGGATCAAATTCACACATAACAATATTAACTTTAAATGTAAATGGGCTAAATGCTCCAATTAAAATACACAGACTGGCAAATTGGATAAGGAGACAAGACCCATCAGTGTGCTGTATTCAGGAAACCCATCTCACGTGCAGAGACACAAATAGACTCAAAATAAAGGGATGGAGGAAGATCTACCAAGCAAATGGAAAACAAAAAAAGGCAGGGGTTGCAATCCTAGTCTGTGATAAAATAGACTTTAAACCAACAAAGATCAAAAGAGACAAAGAAGGCCTTTACATAAGGGTAAAGGGATCAATTCAACAAGAAGAGCTAACTATCCTAAATATATATGCACCCAATACAGGAGCACCCAGATTCATAAAGCAAGTCCTGAGTGACCTACAAAGAGACTTAGACTCCCCCACAATCATAATGGGAGATTTTAACATGCCACTGTCAACATTAGACAGATCAACGAGACAGAAAGTTAGCAAGGACACCCAGGAATTGAACTCAGCTCTGCACCAAGCGCACCTAATAGACATCTACAGAACTCTCCACCCCAAATCAACAGAATATACATTTTTTTCAGCACCGCACCACACCCATTCCAAACTTGATCACATAGTTGGAAGTAAAGCTCTCCTCAGCAAATGTAAAAGAACAGAAATTATAACAAACTGTCTCTGAGACCACAGTGCAATCAAACTAGAACTCAGGATTAAGAAACTCACTCAAAACCGCTCAACTACATGGAAAATAAACAACCTGCTCCGGAATGACCTCTGGGTAAATAACAAAATGAAGGCAGAAATAAAGATGTTCTTTGAAACCAACGAGAACAAAGACAAAACATACCAGAATCTCTGGGACACACTCAAAGCAGTGTGTAGAGGGAAATTTATAGCACTAAATGCCCACAAGAGAAAGCAGGAAAGATCCAAAATTGACACCCTAACATCACAATTAAAAGAACTTGAAAAGCAAGAGCAAACACATACAAAATCTAGCAGAAGGCAAGAAATAACTAAAATCAGAGCAGAACTGAAGGAAATAGAGAAACAAAAAACCCTTTGAAACATTAATGAATCCAGCAGCTGGTTTTCTGAAAAGATCAACAAAATTGATAGACCACTAGCAAGACTAATAAAGAAGAAAAGAGAGAAGAATCAAATAGAAGCAATAAAAAATGATAAAGGGGTTATCACCACCGATCCCACAGAAATACAATCTACCATCACAGAAAACTACAAACACCTCTACACAAATAAACTAGAAAATCTAGAAGAAATGGATAAATTCCTCGACACATACACCCTCCCAAGACTAAACCAGGAAGAAGTTGAATCTCTGAATAGACCAATAACAGGCTCTGAAATTGTGGCAATAATCAATAGCTTACCAACCAAAAAGAGTCCAGGACCAGGTGGATTCACAGCAGAATTCTACCAGAGGTACAAGGAGGAACTGGTACCATTCCTTCTGAAACTATTCCAATCAATAGAAAAAGAGGGATTCCTCTCTAACTAATTTTATGAGGCCAGCATCATCCTGATACCAAAGCCAAGCAGAGACACAACAAAAAAAGAGAATTTTAGACCAATATCCTTGATGAACATTGATGCAAAAATCCTCAATAAAATACTGGCAAAACGAATCCAGCAGCACATCAAAAACTTATCCACCATGATCCAGTGGGCTTCATCCCTGGGATGCAAGGCTGGTTCAATGTATGCAAATCAATAAACCTACTCCAGCATATAAACCTAACCAAAGACAAAAACCACAGGATTATCTCAATAGATGAAGAAAAGGCCTTTGACAAAATTCAGCAGCCCTTCATGCTAAAAACTCTCAATAAATTAGGTATTGATGGGACGTATCTCAAAATAATAAGAGCTATCTATGACAAACCCACAGCCAATATCATACTGAATGGGCAAAAACTGGAAGCATTCCTTTTGAAAACTGGCACATGACAGGGATGTCCTCTCTCACCACTCCTATTCAACATAGTGTTGGAAGTTCTGGCCAGGGCAATCAGGCAGGAGAAGGAAACAAAGGGTATTCAATTAGGAAAAGAGGAAGTCAAATTGTCCCCGTTTGCAGATGACATGGTTGTATATCTAGAAAACCCCATTGTCTCAGCCAAAAATCTCCTTAAGCTGATAAGCAACTTCAGCAAAGTCTCAGGATACAAAATCAATGTACAAAAATCACAAGCATTCTTGTACACCAATCACAGACAAACAGAGTGCACAATAATGAGGGAACTCCCATTCACAATTGCTTCAAAGAGAATAAAATACCTAGGAACCCAATTTACAAGTGACATGAAGGACATCTTCAAGGAGAACTGCAAACCACTGCTCAATGAAATAAAAGAGGATACAAACAAATGGAAGAACATTCCATGCTCTTGGGTTGGAAGAATCAATATCGTGAAAATGGCCATACTGCCCAAGGTAATTTATAGATTCAATGCCATCCCCATCAAGCTACCAATGACTTTCTTCACAGAATTGGAAAAAAAGACTTTAAAGTACATATGGAACCAAAAAAGAGCCCGCATCACCAAGTCAATCCTAAGCCACAAGAACAAAGCTGGAGGCATCACGCTACCTGACTTCAAACTATACTACAAGGCTACAGTAACAAAAACAGCATGTTACTGGTACCAAAACACAGACATAGATCAATGGAACAGTACAGAGCCCTCAGAAATAATGCCGCATAGCTACAACTATCTGATCTTTGACAAACCTGACAAAAACAAGCAATGGGGAAAGGAGTCCCTATTTAATAAATGGTGCTGGGAAAACTGGCTAGCCATATGTAGAAAGCTGAAACTGGATCCCTTCCTTACACCTTATACAAAAATTAATTCAAGTTGGATCAAAGACTTACATGTTAGACCTAAAATCATAAAAACCCTAGAAGAATACCTAGGCAATACCATTCAGGACATAGGCGTGGGCAAGGACTTCATGTCTAAAACACCAAAAGCAATGGGAACAAAAGCCAAAATTGACAAAGGGGATCTAATTAAACTAAAGAGCTTCTGCACAGCAAAAGGAACTACCATCAGAGTGAACAGGCAACCTACAAAATGGGAGAAAATTTTTGCAACCTACTCATCTGACAAAGGGCCAATAACCAGAATCTACAATGAACTCAAACAAATTTATAAGTAAAACACAAACAACCCCATCAAAAAGTGGGTGAAGGACACGAACAGACACTTCTCAAAAGAAGACATTTATGCAGCCAAAAAACACATGAAAAAATGCTCATCATCACTGGCCATCAGAGAAATGCAAATCAAAACCACAACGAGATACCATCTCACACCAGTTAGAATGGCGATCATTAAAAAGTCAGGAAACGGCAGGTGCTGGAGAGGATGTGGAGAAATAGGAACACTTTTACACTGTTGGTGGGACTGTAAACTAGTTCAACCATTGTGGAAGTCAGTGTGGCGATTCCTCAAGTATCTAGAACTAGAAATACCATGTGACCCAGCCATTCCATTACTGGGTATATACACAAAGGACTATAAATCATGCTGCTATAAAGACACATGCACACGTATGTTTATTGCAGCAGTATTCACAATAGCAAAGACTTGGAACCATCCGAAATGTCCAACAACGATAGAGTGGATTAAGAAAATGTGGCACATATACACCATGGAGTACTATGCAGCCACAAAAAATGATGAGTTTGTGTCCTATGTAGGGACATGGATGAAACTGGAAATCATCGTTCTCGGTAAACTCTCGCAAGGACAAAAACCAAACACCACATGTTATCATTCATAGGTGGGTATTGAACAATGAGAACACATGGACACAGGAAGGGGAACATCACACTTCCGGGACTGTTGTGGGGTGGGGTGAGTGGGGAGGGATAGCATTAGGAGACCTACCTAATGCTAAATGACGAGTTCATGGGTGCAGCACACCAACATGGCACATGAACACTTATGTTACAAACCTGCACATGGTCCACATGTATCCTAAGACTTAAGGTATAATAATAAAATAAAATAGAATAAAATAACAAAATATACACTAATACAGATTGACCAACTAAAAAAATTGTAGAGAAAGGTCATTTAAAAAATATGAAGTATAGAGTAATAATCTAACACGTTGAAATCTAAGAAGGAGAAAACAGCTTGTCTGAACAGCATTTTAAGTGGCAATGTTAGAGGTTTTATCAAAATCGACCAATAATATTAAACCACAGGTTCAGGAGGCTTTTCAAAGCAAAGGAAAACACACACAGAGGACACATCTAGAAACATAATGGGACAATTTCTGAAAAGTAAAAGAAAAATGTAAAGAGCACTTGATAAAAAAAAATTGGGCTAACTACAAAGAGAAAGAGGTAACTGATAACAACTTTCTCAAATGAAACAATGAAAGCCAACAAGTGAGGTATTGATATCTTTCAAGTCCTGAAATAAAATCAATGCTGACCTAGAACTGTCTACTTGGTGGACATATCCATCAAAAGCAAAGATACAATAAAGAATTTCTCCCAAGCAGACCCACAGGAAAAGAAATACTAAAGATTATTCTTCAGGTAGAAGAGCCATGATCCCTGATGAAAGTTTGTAGTTAGAAGAACAATTTTTTAATAAAAGAAATAAATATAGAAATTTAATTGGATATTGACTGTATAACAGAATGCTATCTCATAAAGTTTAAAATGTATCTTCCATAAAACGGCAGAAGCATATAAGTTGTGAGTTGGATAAATTAATTTTAAAATATTGTCAAGTTTTTTTTTTTTTTTTGCAAATAGACAGATGTATCAATTATATTAGACCCTGAATTCAGGAATGCACTTTGTATTAAACCAGGTAAAACATAACCAGACCAGATTTTTTAAATGGACTCTCTGAAAGTTTTTATAATTTATATTCATATTTCACATATGTTAAAAGTAAATAATGGAAAAGCATGCAATGCAAATATTAACCAAAATATAGCTTTAGTTGTACTTATATTCACATTTTAAAAGATGGACACAGTTAAGTCTCAGTGATTTTTTTACACAACGGAGGCAACCTGTGCAGTTATAACTAGTATTATATTATGCTCTTGGCCCGATTACAGAAGGGAAAGGGGCGATCATACCAGACAATGGCAGAATGAAGCAACAAGGAATAGAGTTACAGAACATGATGCTGTAACTGGGACTGGAGTTACTCTTTTAGAGTTAAAGAATAGTAAACAGGACAAAATATATGAAACATTTTTTTGAAGTACAGAACATCAGGCAGCACAGTACTGTGCTCCGCAAGAGAAGAGAAGGAGCCAGAATGAGTCCTGCTTTATTCCCAGATTCTCCGTGACAGCAGTAGAGAGGAATCCCAGAGAGAGCAGACATTGTCATTGCACTGAGGAACCAGATAAAAATCAAAAAAGGTTAAGTAGCTGGAATGTGTAGTAGAAGAGAACGTTTACAGAAAAAGGAAACAAGAATCAGCCTAAGGATTCTCCCAAGTCCCTAAGCCAAATGTACATAGGATGAAATTCTAAGGAGCTCAGCAAAGGACTCTACCAGGGAGTTGGAAGAAGAACACTTCCCTGGCATCACATGACAGCAAGACACGTCAGCTCTGACCAGCCAGAGAAGGGAATCCCCTCTGTACCTCCAGGATATTCAGTAAAGACCACTGGAGGTTCATGCCCTGGTGACAGTGCTCATTTAGCTCCAAATTACAGATGGCTCTAGACTAACTCCACAACGTTTAAAGAGAAGATTTAAAACAACAACAGAAAAATACTCATCCTGAAGTTACTGAACTGCCTGCCACAACATTGTTCAAAGGTAGCCAATCAAATCTAGATATTCAATAGCATAACACCAAAATACCCCCCAAAAAAAGCTCTGGCATACAAAGATGCCGTAAGATATATATAATTAAGATATATATTAACAGGATAAAAATAAGTCATTTATAAATGACAGAGAAGAAGGAAATTTCAAGGTCCTTAAAGTAAATATATTTTATAAATACATATAGATAAATACATATATATGTCAAGGTACTTAAATGAAAATTGAACATAGGAGAAAAATAGAAGTTATAAAATGAAAAATGTGACATGTATAGATGGAAAATAAATATTTGAAATAAAAATTCCATGAGATAGAATAAGTAATGGATTTTACCCTAACATCAGAAAATTTATAGAAAAAAAAAGAAGCTTCAAAACTAAAGGACAATGGGTAAACTAAAATAAGAAAGCCAGAAGCTCACTGATACGTCAGACAATATGCAGCAGTGTAACATACATGTAATTATTGTCTCATAAAGGATGGGTGGGGGAATTATAGGTGAATAAAGAATGGTACACTCATTCCTGAGGGCACCGAGGAGGGAGGATAGCTTTAGATTTCTAAGGGAGGGTATTATCCATTCATGAAGGTCCAACCCCATGACAAAACACCTCCCAGTAAGCCCCACCTGCACATTGGGGATCAAATTTTAACATGACATTGGAAGGGACAAGCATTCAAACCATAGCAAGAGTTAAATTTCCTTTTAAAAACAATCACTGATATGATTCCATTTCGCCATAGATAAAAGCTAGTATTTCAACCTACCATTGCGTGTACTTATAGCTCACCAAAAGGGCACTCTGTCTCGGGAATACAGATTTGCCTAGAGGTATCCTATTGCAATCAAAGAAGGAGCAATGAGGGATAGAAAAGGTTAGTGATGGAGACACCAGCGCTGCATTTTGCAACAAACAATGTAAAAATTTTATGGATTGGTTCTGCTAACTTACTACAGTTTACATTCCTCTCAGGTGGGAGAATTGTTGAGTTTTTTCTTAAGATAGAAAAGCAATTCAGATAATCTGAAATCTCCACAAGAAGGATAAGAAGCACAGCAGAAACTATTCTAGGCAGGAAGTCAATCCTTTCAACTGTCTGTGCTCCATAGAAACAATTGTCTGCACTGGGAATCATATGCGGTACAGACCACAGCCAGACCTCTGATCCTCTCATTAGTGATTTCAGAAGAAATTACCAGTCAACTGAGTAATTCACTGAGTAAAGTAAACATTTGGCACTGAAAGAGGTTAGACGGATAACTATTAGTATCACCATATTCATGAAGCTGGAATATTTTCCATTACTGGTATCACATCCGAATGGAAGATGTGAAAAAGTCTCTCATCTTGTAAGATGGATATGAAAGAACATTTTCTGGGAAATGAAATTATTAACACACCTGCGAGGTGGATGGAAGAGAAAAAAAAGAATAATCAGCTTGAGTTCTTCTCCTTGATAAGACAACTCACTAAAAACATAAAGAGAAAAATACAAGTTTAAAATAATTAACCAGAAGAAGACGACTCTAGAGTTTTTAAATTGCTGATAAGATTTTAATTTGCTCCAAGTTGAAAATAATTATATTGCTTGTGTTTTAAGGCACATAATGAGCAATTATATCACACGTGATAATTTCAGCAGTAAAATATCCGTTAACAGCTGGCACTCATAAAAGCATAGCACAATGTGAAGATGCAATTTGCTAAAATAAACCATCTGCTGAAAACTGCTATTCTGCAAATTTAAAAATAAAGTTTAAATGTTATTTGTCTTATTTAATAGGTCTGTGAAAAAATGCGCTATTTGAAAAGTAGCTGCTACCTTAATTCTTTATATTAGACGGCTGGTTACAGTAATGCACAGTAAGGTGCTACATAGATATATTGCTAAATTTTCTGCATATACTATGAATTTGGCTTAAATTATTTGAAATTTTATAGTTAAAATAACAAATGTATATTTAAATGTTTTGACACAAATTACAAATATACGTTTAAAAAGCGTCTTACACTCTAAATATTATTTGTCACCTATATATTTGTCTTTTCTCTATAGGAAAGTTTAAATTTTTCCCTTGAAGCTTTAATTATTTGAGTCTATAAAATAAACTGATAACGTACAAATTAACAGGAAAAAAAGGTCTACAGATATGTGCAACAGTATGCACTTGGAGTTTACATAATATATATAAATATATCTATACAAATATTTGTATATTATAAATGGATATACAAATATATACTATATATATAAAAACTCCAGGAAAGACAAGGCAGTCAACACGCCTATGTCTTGAGGTTACAGAAAACACAGAGCTGTAGGTTGGTAAATCAGGCTTTGCAGAAGACAGGTGATGACAAGGAAGAAAGAGGAGCCTGGCAGCAGAGGTGGTCTTGTTACATGGATGAAACCTCACAGAGAGCAGCCCTCCTCTTGGGAAGTATAGATAGGAAATGGTTTTTAGAAATGTAAACGTGCCAGGCTCAGTTAATCTTTCCTAAACCCAGACAAGGGAGTATCTCAGGGAAAGCCTGTCTATATCAATGCAGATTTTCTCTACAAATGCAAATCGCCCCAACAAACACATCTTTTCAGCTATTCTTGTAGAAGAAGCTATCTCCAGTCTTCTGAGTAGCCATCTTGAAATATGTCAAAAAGCTGGCCAGGAGCACGCCTGTAATCCCAGCACTTTGGGAGGCTGAAGTGGGTAGATCACCTGAAGCCAGGAGTTGGAGACCAGCCTGACCAACCTGGTGAAACCCCGTCTCTACTAAATACAAAAAATTAGCCGAGTGTGGCGGTGCATGCCTGTAATCTCAGCTACGTGGGAGGCTGTGCTAGAATTACTTGACCCTGGGAGGCTGAGGTTGCAGTGAGCCAAGATTGTGCCATTGCACTCTAGCCTGGGCAATAAAAGCAAAACTCCATCTCAAAAAAAAAAGTGTATTTTAGGGTAATATTTTGAGTATCCTTACCTCCATATGTACAATAAATATTATTGTGATTTTTAATCTTTTCTGTGGAAAAAACACAGGTGTGATTTCTAGTGTAGCTGAACATCGTTTATTTGACAATATTGCACTTGTGTGTGGGTGTGTGCGTGCGTAGCTACTCTTTAATTTTGTTCTCACATAATGATTAGATATTAACAATTCAGTAAAATGTATGTTTTGCAATATTTCTCCATGTTACTATGCTTTAAATTAGTTTAATCATGCCCCTATAATGTGTACATTTTAACCTTTGACTATAGGTCTCAATCTTACTTTGGTTCCTGTATTTGAATTTATGCTAATAAAGTCCTATAGCTAAAAAAGATTATATAAACTTATCTGCATTTTTACTAGTATTCTGGTGTCATTTTAAATTATGTAATGAAATCAAATTTTAATTTGGATTATTGTTATCTGAGTTAAGGATCTAAATTTTTAATTTTCTTATAAATATTACATAATTATTTCTGAACCATATATTGACTAATCTGCCCTTTGTATGATGTGCATTATAAGAGCTTGGGATTGTTTCATTTGCAAAGATGAATGCTTGAGAAGTAGATATTTAATCATAACATTTCAAAATCTACTGGATAACCTAGAATTGAAAAATAGCCTATAGGTTGAAAAACTCCTGTAGCGAAGAAAGAAAATAACAAATATACAGTGACAATATAAATATTATAAGTATTTATTTTATTATCGCCCTGAAATTTGATAATACAAACATGTAATATCTACATATCATCCATATATCCGGTCATAAAAAATCAATACATTCTTCAAAAATTTAGCATAACAGAAAATGCACTCTCCTTGATGGAATTAAGTTACAAATAAAAGTAAAAATAAGTAGATAAGTAGATGGAAGTAGATGTTTAAAAACAAAGAAAAATGTTTGTTTTGGATAACATAAAATCTCAATTGACAATTCCAATATTTCCAGAACTTTGCCTGTCAACTGGTGGAGAGTTTTCCCCAGGAGACATTTGTCAATGTCTAGGGTTATTGTGGGGATGTCAAGACTGGTGGAGGTGTGAAATTTAGAGGTCAAACGAAACACCTAGCATTGCTAGGGCAGCCTCCCACAACACAGAATCCTCTGGTCCTAAAGGTAAGTAGCACCAAGGTTGAGAAACCATAATCTAGACAGTAAACACTACGTAGCTATTCCAAGTGCTCAGGAAAACACATCAGTGCCCTCGAGGGGAGAAGTGTAAACATTTTAATTGCTGTACATGGTGACACAAATCCATGTTGTTAATGTAAGTGGAAGGGGCTGAAGCACAAAACGTAATTCGAAGAGTTTACTTGAGCCAAAATGAGGACAGCTGCCTGAAAGAAACAGACCCAAGTATCCTTGGATATGAATTCCCTTTGGAGCTTTGCAACAAGCAGTTTCTTAAAGGCAAAAAAGGGTCCAGAAGTGGGATGATGCAAAGAGGCTTGTCATAAATTCTCATTGGCTTATGGAAATGACATTTATTAGTGACTGGCTATACACTGTTACACTATTATTGGGTGTGGATTATAGTGTCTGGTGTGGCATTATTGGTTAATTTATAGCTAATGTGGCAACAGCAAGCAGCCTAGATGAACACACAGCTCAAAGAGGAGCAGGACAGAACTGCTGTCTCATTTGAATATCTCTCTGGGCCTGATTATTTAAAAGGAATTGCATTTCTCACATGAAAGTTATTTTCTTTTCTCAATGTCCATAAATGAGAATAAATAGACGTAAAATAGATCTTTTTGAGGATGAAGTAAATGGAATGAAAAACAAAACCCAAGCTGACCAGAAATCATAGAGGGAAGAAAAGGTTATAAATATATGGATTTTTCAAAGTGATTTTAAGCTATTAGGAATCAGTTAAATGTTGGGGGATTTTGTCTGAGTATGGGCTAAAGGAGAATGTCCCTTTTGCCTTCTGAAGTTTCCCTGAAAATCACTAATAAGAGGCAGATAAATAGTAGAAAAGGCATACAGGTTTCTGCAATGTGTGTACACTGGAGCCCTTAGAACGAAGACCCAGACACACGATGCGTGCAGAAGCTTATCTACCACATGAAGTTTACAGAAAGAATGGGGTCTTGGATCACAGGGAAAAAAAAAAAAAGGTTATGTGAGAAAACGACCCTGGCTAGCAACAGTGGACTTATTACGTAGGTGGAACCTCACTGGGAGCAGTCCTCAGAGAGAATAGACAGAAAATGTTTCTTTCAGACCTCTGGAGACCTCAGACTCTCAGTTAAACTTTTCTAGATCCAGACAAAGGGGCAGACCTCAGAGAAAGCCTGGCTGCATCGAGGTAGATTCTCTACCGATGCAAATCTCCCCAAGACAGCTTTGCAGCTATGTTTACATTTCCAGCCCTTCTGAATAGCCATTTTGAAATATATCAAGGAAATATATTTAGGGGTAAAATATATTAGTTTCCTTCATACAGCTATAAAACATGCAGGAATAATTTTTGTCAATGTCTACTACAAATCCAATATAGAAGTAATTATAAAACCCAGCAGATATTGTAGAAAAAATATGTAGAGTACATCAATTACAAATGTTGATACTAAAATGCCAAATAAAATAAAAATAATATCCAACAATATTTGAAACAGTAAGACAAGAAATTGGCAACAAAAAAAAAACAAATATCCACCTTGGGGATGAAAGTGCGTTTCCAAATTTGGTAATCCAATAATATTAATAATCATATTGATTAGCCCAAATTAAAAATAGGGGATTCTCAGTACATGCTAAAATATATTTGTTAAAAGACAATATCCATGTCTTTAAAGATTTTAAATGCTATAAAGAGTCTGATATTCTATATGCAAAGATGTGTATGTCCATTAGAAGAAGAGGCCTGATTTTCATATGTTACTACATAGAGATAGAGAAGTGGATAGATTAATTTGCATATGCATAGAGAAAGCATAAAATAGAAATTTACTATCATATTAAAGGAATTTTAATTCAACAATAAAATAATTCAAAGGTAAAATTTTAAATATTTTTAGCAGGTACATTATTAATATTAGCTAATATTTATAATAATTGTGAAAATATTCAATGCTAAAATAAGATACAATGTCTAAACATCAGTATTAAAACTAGTATAAATATTTGCTTGTTTATACAAGGAAAATTCAAGCTTGACCTGAAATTATATAGGAAATAAAAGAAAAAATTTAAGGGAGCTCTTTAATAACATGAACATATATATATACACACACACATATAACATGTATATATGTTATATGGGATAGATATAGATTTAACATGTTATATCTATATTTGTATCTATAACTATAGCTGTATGTATCTACATTTCTATATATTTACTCAGTGATATAAATATAGACTGGAATAAATATAAAGACACATATGATTCTTGGATAAAAAGGATTTAGTATCATAAAGACAAATTCTTTCCAAATTCATTTATGAATTCACAACAATATACAGTTTCATTAGTATAATTTAAATTTTTTAAATAAATTCCAAGATTCATTTAAAGGAATATACATGTATACAAGCAATCAAGAAAGAAGCAAGAGTGCACTAAACTGACTTGCTATTAAAATACATTTTTAAACTTAGTAACTAACACTGAGCAGTACTGATTTGGAGTACTGGAATTTATGTATATGGGATCTCAAAAGCACAGAGCTCAAAGGAGACCCCTTTATGCACGAGAGCTTAGGATGTGCTTTATTTAGAAGGCATTACCAAACCACGGGCAAAGTTACTTTAGTGTCTTAGTCTTACTAGGTTTGAAAAGCCAGAGAAAAGACTCAAGACCGCCATATGAGAGCAAAACAAAAGGACAGGGAGAGAATGTGAAGATACTGAAACATTTTACACAAAGTTGTATAAAACATCCTTTAAAGAAAATATAAAATTTAGGATATACATCAAAATCAGCAGAGCCACTAAATAAATAAATAGGCATTCTAAAATAGCAAGAGAAAATTTAAATGGATTTCTAAAAAATATTGACACCTATGATTTTTAAAATATGTTTAAGAAATCCCGTATTTCACAGGGCAGCCTTTCACAACACAGATATGTTAGGACATAAAGGTCCTTCTGTTTTTAATTTACTAGTGTTTATAGGGTTACAAATCTCTTCTACCCTTGTCTTTTGTCTGATGGTGCAAAAAATTTTCATAAGCATGTATTTCTGAATGCCTGATGGATTGACATATATAATATGCTGCTAGTATTAAAATATGTGATGGAAAACGCATCCAATCTTCTCACTGTTTACATAAATTCTATGTTTCTCCTATTTACCTCAACCGTTGGATACAACCTACCTGACTCACCCCACAGACCTCACAGCACACATGGACAGCCCCCACACGCCAGAGTGACCTGCTCGGTTGCAGCAGGAGTCAAGAAATGTGCCTGCTGGCACTCACCCCACTGACTAGTGCCCCGTGGAATACTTATGTGGGTAATGTTCTGGGCCCAATAAACGCTGGAGTCTCACAGACCCCTTTTCTCTCTCCTGCTCCCCACTCATCTTCCCCATTTTGTTCAGCCCTATGAGGTGTGCTACTGTATTAGTCCATTTTCACACCGCCGGTAAAGACATTCCCAAGACTGGGTAATTTCCAGAAGAAAGAGGTTTAATAGACGCACAGTTCCACATGGCTGGGTAGGCCTCACAATCATGGCACAAGGTGAGAGGCACGTCTCACATGGCAGCAGACAAGACAAGAGAGCTTGTGCAGGGAAACTCCCCTTTATAAAACCATCAGATCTTGTAAGACTTATTCACTATCAGAAGAACAGCATGGGAAAGATCTGCCCCCATAATTCAATTACCTCCCAGCTGTTCCCTCCCACAACATGTGGGAATTCAAGATGAGATTTGGCTGGGGACACAGCTAAACCGTCTTCTCAGCTACCCTCTTCTCTCTGGATCTGTGAGTAATAAACCTACTTCTGTGATTTCCCATGTTTGGTTCTGTGGCCTCCATGGGTCTGAGCTGACCTACACTGGAACCTAACCCTCCTCCTGGCCAGGGTCTCTGAGAGTGGCTCTTGTCAGAAATACGCAGGACACAGGTCAGGCAACAGTCACCAGGCATCTCCTAGTCTCAACAGATGTTCTGTGAGAGGGAGGCCTGGTCGTGGGATGCACACCTGGCCACTGCTGGGGTAAGGAAGTGTCCTGTGAAAGGCACATGTTAAGCATCCACAACCCCCTGACCAGAACCCTAGAAAGGCAGGGCTCCAATTGACAGTCACTCTCCAGAGACAAACCTCAAGCCCTAACTGGAGGAAAAGAAAACACTGTAAAAAGTTGAATTTATCTTACTATTTCAATGATCCAGTAAAGACATTCTATGCCTGTACACCACATATTTTCTTTGATTGTGGATTTATTTTAGATAGAATTTTATGTCTGGCTTTCACTTTAGCCTGGTCCCTACCTCAAGCATAAGGTAAAGATTTTCCATGGGCTCTTTTCTGGTACTACTATCTGCCAGTGTTGGGTCATGTCCTAGTCTATCTTGAGGGAATCCCCCTGTTCATTATTGTCAGAGTGAGACTGTTAAGTCTTGATTTCCCTGGACAACTTCACTGCATGACTTTTAATATGATTTTTTAATATACCCTCTACTGGACAATAAATTATATAGTTATCTGAGTAAGAGATATGGTCAGGAAGAGGCATTGCCTCATTCAGCTTTTCTCTTTGGTGAACTCGCATATTTTCTCCTCACCCGCCAGTCACCTCTAAACCGTATTGTTCCAAGACAACAAACAGAACTCGAGTGTGTATCTTTCACCAATGGATTTGTGTTTGCTCCATAAAGCTTCATGCTTAATAGGGTTTCTGTTAGCATTTTCTCTATTTATTTTCCCATAAAATATCACAGGCCTTCTTCATATGGAATTATGGGTGATTTCC
This sequence comes from Homo sapiens, assembly GCF_000001405.40. NCBI lineage: Eukaryota > Metazoa > Chordata > Mammalia > Primates > Hominidae > Homo > Homo sapiens. The sequence continues at coordinate 268,993 of NW_021160024.1, forward strand.
TTCAATCTGCATCATATCAAGTTGAGGTTCATGTTGATGGAAAGTATAACATACTTTGAAAATATCAGTAATGATGTTTTCCCTTCCTTTTTAGCACCTGTGCTTGTGATACAAGCACATTTTAATACAATTGTAGTCTCATGCTTTGATCATTCCTATGATGAAAATAACATTTTTAGATAAAATATCTGAGTTTTATGAGGCCTTTAGTATGTGATGTGATAGAATATCAGAAGACCATACTTTTTTCTAGTTTTCCATGCAATTCTATCATTGTTTCATCTTTACTCCTACCAGAGTAATTTTCCAAAATAGATATCTTGTCATTCTTCCTGTTGTTATCAGTAAATAAGTGAAATGAAAAGCTAGATTATATAATTTATCTAGAACAAGAAAGTAGAATTGAATCTATATTCATTAATGAGACTAACCAGTCAATTACACAGATAGGCATTTTATATTTTGAAGATCATATGGACCCATTGTCAGAAATATTATTATTTATGTCTATATGGACATCACCTGTGCATATTTACATAGAAATCAATGGGAGCTGATTTTCATTTTTATTATATATATTTTTTGAGATAGGGTCTTGTTTTGTTGCCCAGGCTGGAGTGCAGTGGTGCAATCACTGCTCACTGCAGCCTCAGCCTCCCAAGCTCAAGCAATCCTTCCACCTTGGCCTCCCAAATAGCTAGGACAACATGTACACATCACCATGCTCACTTTTTTTTTTTTAACTTTTGATAGAGACTGGGTCTTGCTATGTTGCCCAGGTTGCTTTTGAACTCCTGGGCTCAAGGAATCCTCTCATTTCAGCCTCTTCAACTGCTGCTATTACAAGCATGAACCACCATATGGGCTGGAAGCTGATTTTTAAAATACTGAGATCATATAGATGACAGCACTTGAAAAATAGACAACACCAAGCTTTATGTGAAAAGGTGTGAGGGTATCAATATTGTTGTGGCTATTGGGGAGGAAAACATTAGTAAAACCAGTAAGTTAAAGCTCTTGCTTTAAACTTTGGCTTTAATTTAACAAATGTTCTGTGGAGTGACAGTATGTATGTAACCATGCTATGCCCATTCACAGATGCAGTAGAGGTAAGAATTTCTCAAAGACAACTGTTCTAAGGCTCTAATTAAACCGTACTGGGTTTGAAAAGAGAAAGTCCAGGAATTACCAAATATTTTAGATATCAGATAAAAGAGAATGCCAGGTATGCGACAATAATCAGCAATGGTTGTTCACACAATACATCAAATCAGTATTTGAATTAGCTTTTGAATTACAAGGACAAATGGATCAAGTCTAGACTCTTTAGTAAATAAATCTTCTTAGGCTGAGATGTGTTTTCCCCCGTTTTTCCACAAGGAGATTACAAATTTGCAAACCTCAGCTGCTCTCATTTTATGCTCTCACCAAGCCAAAAGCTGAAGTTCATCAATCAGTGTGTCTAAGTGTTCACTGGTTATATACCATTTTGTAGTTTCAGCTATCTTTCCAACTTCCTAAATCATCACCTTCATTTGATCTTGTTTTTTTCCACTATCACTTCTTTATTGACCATATAAAGAATATAAGTAAGTTCTTATTTTGTTATTGTTCATTTTAGTCTAATTTCATCAAAATGTAACAATCTTTTAATTTCATTTTAATTTCAAAGATTAAATGAAACCTACATAGAAATGAGTGTAAGATTTGCATTTGCATTACTTTGGCATCAATTTGCTATCCTCCCTCATGCACATAGAGACCATTTCCATGTACGTGATTTCAAACATCCAAGTGCAGTATTAAAAGCAGTTGTAAATTATGGTTCTCATTTTCATGTTACAATTACAATATAAACTTCCTCTTGCTGCTGTAACCAATTACCACAAACTTCATATCTTACAATAAAGTGACCGTTAATCCTACAGTTCTGTAGTTCAGAAGCCTTAAATGAAACTCACAGGGCTAACATCAAGTTTTGGGCAGGGCTGCAGTCTTTCTGAGGGCTATGTGGCAGAATCTATTACTTGATTTTTTTCAGCATCCAGAGGCCACCTTTATTCCTTGGAACATGACCTCGTTCTTATATCCTATTTTTCTTTTTTTTTTTTTTTGAGATGTATTCTCCTTCTGTCACCCAGTCTGGAGTGCAGTGGCATGATCTCCGCTCACTGCAACCTCTGCCTCCCGGGTTCAAGTGATTCTTCTGCCTCAGCTTCCTGAGTAGCTTGGACTACAGGCACTTGCCACCATGCCCAGTTAATTTTTTGTGTTTTTAGTAGGGATGGGGTTTCACCATGTTAGCCAGGATGGTCTCGATCTCCTGACCTCGTGATAAACACACCCCAGCCTCCCAAAGTGCTGGGATTAGGCGTGAGCCACTGCGCTGGGTCCTCATTCTTGTATCTTAAAAGTCAGTGATGTTGAGTAATTTCTCATGCCACCACCTCCAAGGTTGCCTTTTTTCTGCCTTCTTCTTTTACTTATAAGGAAGTTTGTGATTTCATTGATCCCACCCATTTAAGACAATCTCTCTGTCATTTTTCTGCAACCTTAATTTCACTTGAAATCTAATTTCACACCACCGTGCAACCTAACATATTTGTATGTTAGACTCTGGGAATTAGGACATGAAAATTTTTGGGAGGCCATTCTTTTGCCTACAGCAGACATAATCTATTTACCTGCAGATTAAAGCATCCTTTATTTTTCTGTCTCCCTCTCTTAATTTTTTTAAAATAATATGAAATGTAGTAAAGAGAAAGAAAGAAAAGAAAACAAAAAGACGGAAGGAAAGAAGGAAGGAAGGAAATAAAGAAAGAAAGAAAGAAGAAAGAAAAGAAGGAGGAAATGAGGGAAGGGAGGGAGGGAGGAAGGGAGAAAGGCAGCAAGGGAGAACAAAGAAAGCATGAACACAAGAAAGAAAGAAGGAAAGAAAGAAAGAAAGAGAAACAGAGAAAGAAAGAAAGAAAAGGAGGAAGGGAGGAAGTAAAGGAGGAAGAGAGAATGGTAAAAGGGAGGAAGGCAAAGAAACAAAGAAAATAAAGAGGTGAAGGAAGGAAAAAGCGGAAAGGAAGGGAGGGAGGAAGGAAGAAAAGAAGGGTGGGAGGAAGGGAGAAAAAAGGAAAGAAAACAAGAACGTGAGAAAGAAAATATGAGAAAAGGAAGAAAAGGGAGGGAGAAAGGAAGGGAGGGAGGAGGGAAGGAAGAATAAGAGGAAAGAAAGAAAGAAGGAAGGAAGAAAAAAGAAAGAAAATAAAGAAAGGAAAAGAAAGAAAAGAAAAGGAAGAGGAAAAGAAGAAAGGAAGGAAGAAGGCAAGGGAAGGGAAGAGAAGAGAAAGGAAGATGGAAAGAAGGAAGGAAGAACGCAAATATTAGAAATTCTGGGTTTGTTAGAGAATATGCCATACTGTTTTTTTTTTTCACTTGAAAGGAAAGAGTATCTGCCATTGAAGATTGGATGTCTTGTTGATGATATTGTTCTTATCTTCCACATGATTACTGAGTTTGTGCCTAGTCTTTCCATTACTAAGACAAAAGTGTTGAAGTCTGCAAATATAATTTTGGATTTTTCTAGTTCACCTTTGATTTCTTTCCTGTTTTACCTCATGTATTTGGAGGTTCTGTTGTTAGCTGCATACCCTAATTAGTAGGATGTTTACATCTTCTTGAGAATTGATTTTTCTACTATCTATTATCTCTCATCTCTGATACGATTTATTGTTCCGAACTCTGTTGTGTCTAATATCAATGTAGTCCTTCCACAGCCTTATTTTAGTGTTTCCATGATATGGCTTTCTCCATATCTTGATGATAACCTATTTGTATCTCTATATATTTGGAGCAAGATATAAAATTTAGAGTTGATTTTTTAAAGATTTTTCAAGATGGAATTCTTATTTATTTTTGTTCTATTTGACATTCTCTGAGTTTCCTATATCTGAAGTTTGATTTTCTGTCACTTCTTTTAGAATATTTTTGGCAGTTATTTTGAAATATATTTCTTTTGCTCCATTATTTTTTTCCTCTTTTCTTTTTGGGATTTCAATTATAACTAAGGTAGGTAATTTCATCTCAGTCTTATGCAGGTACTTTTTCTCAGGGTCTCAGGAATGTAGCCTTCTCACACTTCTGTTCCTTTCCTGGCTGTGTTGGTGAGCTCAGTGATATTCCTCCTTCACCTTCAAGAGCAGTTTTGTTTTGTTTTTCCTGTTTTCATACTCCCAGCATCAGGAGTATTCTAAGTGTGGCAGTTTTTGTTGCCTTCCCCTACATATTAAGTGGAATATCTTGGTCTATTCGGACTCTTATAACAAAATAACATAAACCGGGTGACTAAAAAACAACAGATATTTCTTTTTTCACACTTCTTGAGGCTGTAAGATCTCAGGTCAAGATGCTCACAAATTCAGTGTTGATGAGAGCCCATTTCATGGTTCATAGATAGTGCCTTCTTTCTATATCCTCACATAGTGGAAGGCACACAGGAACTCCATTGAGCTTCTTTTATAAGGGCACTAATCCCATTCACAAGGGCTCGGCCCCCAAGACCTGGTCACCTCCCAAGTGTTCTGCTCTCCCTGATCTGTATCATATACAGACTCTCTTGAGTTCCTTACCAATTGCTTGAGAGATCACAGTGGGTTTGTGGGGAAAAAGTTTTCAAGATGATGGATCTTTCCCAACTTCTGCAGCTGTCAGCGGTCTCCCAATCTCACCAGCCCCACTTTGTCTTTAGGAATTTATTGATTATTCCAGCTTTACTTGTCATAGTGGTGTCTATTTGCATCTGTCCTATGTAAGTGCATCTGTCCTTTTTCTCCTTGCAGGTGCAAGTACTCAGGAGTACACTGTTGTTACTAATTACTCAGTATTGGTTGGTACATTGTCAAAGATCAAAAAACATTTTAAAGATAAAAAAAATCTTGGAAGTTGTGTAATGAAGGGTTAATTCTGCAGACATGGCTTTCCAAAACCTTCCGCGTTCCAAAGGTCTTCAGGACTGGCCCTTGACAAGCTCCTGGGAGATGATAATCTATGAGCCCTTGGTATATGCTGCCTGATGAGAGTCTTTGTATACCTGCAAACGTAGATCATATCACATAGCTTATGCTAACAACGTGATTTCTTCTGAGCACCTGTTTCTGTATGCCTATGACTTTGTGTAATGCCATATTAATATGACCTCTCTTAGGGCATAGGGAGGTTGGGAACTAAATACCTAAGTTCAGTCACAGGACGCTCGATGCATATGTGGTGGAATCCTAATAAAAACCCTGGACTCAAGACTGACTGAACTTCCCTAGTTGGCAACAAGTTCACACATGTTGTCTCACACCATTGTAAAGAAAATTAGTCAGTGTGAAGTCCCCACTATGAAAGGACACCTGTAAGCTCACATCTGGTTTGTCTTGGACTCAATTTTATGTGCTTTTATGCTTCTGATTATTTTAATCTGGTTTCTTTCACTGTTAGAAACTATAACCACAAAAGAAAATCAGCTTTCTTGAGTTATGTGAATCATTAAACCAAAGGGGGACTTGGGGACCCCCAATAAAAAGTATATATATTCTTAAAAAGAAAAAGAAAACTGGCCACAGCAGATATTGCTGATGACTTGTCTTCTATGTCCTGGACTCAACGTGTTCACCTGAAATTCACCTGTTTCCAGCTAACTGAGAGCTCCCCACATCATGCCTGTCTTTCTGATTTTTGGGCCTGCCTGCAAGCTTCTTGAGGCTAACCAGTGCTTCTCAACCACACATAGGAACAAAGAAGGAGTTAGGGGTGGAGAGTTAATGATTCTAAGGCAATCCTTAAACAATAAGAGATGGGAATTCCAGCATCCCCATCTCTTTGTAAAGTTATTTTGAGACAATCTCCATACCTCCATCATTACTGAGCACATAGCAGTAACTACTCATTCACACTGGCTTCGTGTTCTGTTTCATTTTCTCCACTTCTGTGCTTTCTCACTCAATTTCTGATTAAAGTACCTGACCCCAGATATTTGTTTCATAGTCTATTTTTGAGGGAATCCAGAGCCAAGACAATAACAATGGAAGCTTTGAAATGAGGGAGGGTGAGTATAATCATCAGAAGGTTACCTACCTCACTGGGAACATGAAGGCCTGGAGAGCTTGCTGTTTCAGTGAGAGAAACATGATGAATCTCAGTTGAATACCTATATATATATATGTGCAATAAGACGTGCCCTTTACTTATATCAAAGGAAAGTGCTCTTTACCTCTCTTTGTTGTTGTGTTTTTATCACTATTGCCTACACAAGCAGAATATCATACCCAGGATTTAAAGCCCTCTCTGCAGGATTTTCAAGCTCATGTTTTTATCATAAGTCACTCTGCTTCCATGTGTTTTAAATCTAATCCTCATTCCTCTGCTTTTACACCAGAGAATTCATCACTGACTTATTTTTGACTGACCTTCTTATAGAGCTGTCAAGTACACAATTTCTGCTGTGACCTTTCTCTTAGAGTTCAGTCATATAGCCTCTCACTAGATATCATTTCCTCTTATCTTTCCTAATAATGAATTGTCAGTTAAAACTCAATATTTTTAAGATTGAGCTTACCATCTGCACACACACACACCATTATTGGTGTATTCTCATAGCCTTGAAACACTAATGTCACGTTGATGTCTGCCTTTTCTCTCTCTGCTACTTCATTCCTCATCCTTAGATTATTCTAAAAGATTCAACTAGATCATGTTGGCTAATTATATTTTTAAGATCCTCTCTACCCTTACCAACTCTTCGTTTAACAAAATTTAAAAATTTCTGGCAGGAGACTGTTGAAATCCCCATGGATGACTGTGGTTTTACTATTTTACCTTTCAGTTTTAATAGGTTTTATATTATGTATTTTGAAGTACTGCTATTGTGTGCATACATATTTCTTATTTACATGACTTCTTGGTGTATTTTCCCCTTTGTCATTTTGAAATGTTATTCTTCATCCCCAGTGATATTTCCTCTTCTGACGTCTACTTTGCTCTTCACAATTTTAGGGGGTTTTGGTTTGTTTGTTTTTCTATTTTTTGGATCAAGTAAGTTTCTTAGAAATCTGTTTGATTCCATTTGATGATTCCATTTGATTCCATTCGAGGATTCCACTCGATTCCATTAGATGATGATTCCATTCGTGTCCATTCAATGATTCCATTCGAGTCCATTTGATGATTCCATTCAATTCCATTCGATGATGATTCCATTCGAGTACATTCGATGATTCCATCCGATTCCATTCAATAATGACACAATGCGAGTCCCTTCGTTGATTCCATTCGATTCCATTCTATGATGACTGCATTCGTTTCCATTCGATGATGATTCTAACGGATTCCATTCGGTTGCACCATTCGATTCCATTAGATGATGGTTCCACTAGATTCCATTCGATGATGATTTCATTAGATTCCTTTCGATGATGATCCAATTCGATTATATTCAATGATGATTCTATTCAATTGCATTCAATAATTTCATTCAATTCCATTCGAAGATTCCATTCGATTCCATTCGATGGTGATTCCATTCGTGTCCAATTGATGATTCCATTCGATTCCATTTGATGATGATTCTATTTGAGTCCATTCGATGATTCCATTCGATTCCATGCAATGATGATTCCATCGAGTCCATTCGATGATTCCATTTGATTCCATTAGATGATGACTGCATTCCGTTCTATTCGATGATGATTCTAACGGACTCTATTCGATGACTCCATTCGATTCCATTCATTGATGATTCCATTCAATTCCGTTTGATGATGATTCCATTCAATTCCATTTGATGATGATTCCATTCGATTAGATTCAATGATGATTCCATTGGATTCCATTCAATGATTGCATTTGATTATATTCGATGATGATTCCTTTTGGGTCCATTCGATGATTCCATTCTATTCCATTTGATGATGACTCCATTTGATTATTCCTTTCAACTCCATTTGATGTTTTGTTTTGATTCCAATGTTCATTCCATTTGAGTCCATTCTATGATTCCATTCAAGTGCATTCCATGATTTCATTCAATTCCATTCGATGATGATTCCATTCGATTCCATTCGATGATTCCATTTGATTTCATTCGATGATGATTACACTAGATTCCATTCAATGATTCCATTCGAGTCCATTCAATGATTCCATTCGAGTCCATTAAATGATTCCGTTTGATTCCATTTGATGATGACTCCATTCGAGTCAATTGAATGATGATTCCATTTGATTCCACTCGATGATTCCATTGGATTCCATTCTTTGTTTTATTTTGATTCCTTTTGATGATGATTCCATTCATTTTCATTTGATGATCCCATTCGATTCTATTCGTTGATGTTTCCATTCAAATCCATTTGAAGAAAGTTCCATTCGATTCCATTGATGATGATTCCATTCAATTCTATTTGATGCTGATTCTATTCGATTCCATTCGATGATGATTCCATTCCATTCCATTCGATGATTAAATTCGATTCCATTCGAAGATGATTCCATTCGAGACCATTCGATGATTCCATTCAATTCCATTCAATAATGATTCCATTCGAGTCCATTCGATGATTCCATCCAAGTCCATTCGATGATTCCATCTGATTCCATTCAATGAATCCATTCGATTCCATTCTATGGTGATTCCATTCGTTTCCATTCAATGATGCCATTCGATTCCATTTGAAGATGATTCCAATCAATTCCATTCGATGATTCCATTCGAATCCATTCGATGATGAGTCCATCCATTTCAATTTCATGATAATTCCATTCGTTTCAATTCGATGGTGTTTCCATTCAATTCCATTTGATGTTGATTCCATTACTTTCCATTGGATGATGATTCCATTCGAGTCCATTCGATGATGATCACATTCGATTTCATTCCATAATTCTATTCGATTCCATTTGATGAAGATTCCATCCGATTCCATTTGATGATTCCATTTGATTCCATTCAATGATGATTCCATTCATTTCCATCCGATGATGACTCCATTCGATTCCATTTGATGATTATTCCATTTGAGTCCATTCGATGATTCCATTCGATTCCATTCAATGATGATCGCATTCGAGTCCATGGATTATTCCATTCCATTCGATTCGATGATTCCATTCTAGTCCATTCGATGATTCTCTTCGATTCCATTCGATAATTCCGTTTGATTCCGTTGGATGTTGATTCCATTTGAGTCCATTCCATGATAATTCCATTCGATTCTATTTGGTGATTCCATTCGATTCCATTTGAAGATGATTCCATTTGAAACCATTCGATGATTCCATTCAATTCATTCGATGACGATTCCATTCAATTCCATTCGATGATTCCATTTGATTCCATTTGATGATGATTCCATTTGATTCCATTCAATGATGATTCCATGTGATTCCATTCGATGATGACTCTTTTCGTTTCCATTCAATGATGATTCCATTCGGTTGCATTCGATGATGATTCCTTTGGATTCCATTTAACGACGTTTCCATTCAATTCCAATTGATGATGATTCTTTTCGATTCCATTCGATGATGATTCCATTCAATTCCATTTGAACATGATACCATTTGATTCCACTTGATGATTCCATTCGATTCCATTCAATGATGATTCCATTCGAGTTCATTGATTATTTCATTCCATTCCATTTGATGATTCCATTCGAGTCCATTCGATGATTCTATTCGATTCCATTCGATAATTCCATTCTATTCCATTTGATGATAATTCCATTCGAGTCCATTCGATGATTATTCCATTCGATTCTATTCAGCGATTCCATTCAATTCCATTTGATAATGATTCCATTCGAGACCATTCAATGATTCCATTCAATTCATTCCATGATGATTCCATTCAATTCCATTCGATGATTCCATTCAATTCCATTCGATGATTCCATTCGATTCCATTTGATGATGATTCCATTCGATTCCATTCGATGATGATTCCATGCAATTCCATTCGATGGTGACTCCTTTCGGTTCCATTCGATGATGATTCCATTCGGTTCCATTCGATGATGATTCCTTTGGATTCCATTCAATGATGATTCTTTTCATCTCCATTTGATGTTGATTCTTTTCTATTCCATTCGATGATGATTCCATTTGATGCCATTCGATGATGATTCATTCGATTCCATTCAATGATTCCATTCAATTCCATACAATGATGATTCCATTCGAGTCCATTCGATGATTCCATTCAATTCCATTCGATGATTCCATTCGATTCCATTTGATGATGATTCCATTTGATTCCATTCGATGATGATTCCATGCAATTCTATTCGATGGTGACTCCTTTCGGTTCCATTCGATGATGATTCCATTCGGTTCCATTTGATGATGATTCCTTTGGATTCCATTCAATGATTCCATTTGATTCCTTTTGATGATTATTCCATTCGAGTCCATTCGGTGATTCCTTTTGATTTCAATTGAAGATGATTCCAGTTGATACCATTCGATGATACCATTTGATACCATTCATTGATGATTCCATTTGAGTGCATTCCATGGTACCATTCGATCCCATTCAATGATGAATCCATTCGATTTCACATGATGATTCCATTCAATACCATTCTATGATGATTCCATTGGAGTCCATTTGATGATTCCATTTGACTCCATTTGATGATGATTCCATTCAATGATTCCATTTGATTCTATTCGATGATGATTCCATTTGGTATCATTCGATGCTGATTCCATTCAATTCCATTTGATTATTCCATTTGATTCCATTCGAAGGTTCCATTAGATTATATTTGAGGATGATTCCACTCGATTCCATTCAATGATTCCTTTCAATTCTATTCGATGATGATTCCATTAGATTCCATTGGATGATGACTGCATTTGATTCCATTCGATGATTACATTTGATTCAATTCGATGATGATTGCGATCAATTACGTTCGATTATTTCATTTGATTCCATTCGATGATTCCAATTGATTCCATTCGATAATGATTCCATTCGAGTCCATTCAATTATTCCTTTTGAGTCCAATCCATGATTCCATTCGAGTCCGTTCGATCATTCCATTTGAGTCCATTCGATGAAGATTCCATTCGAGTCCATTCAATAATTCTTTTTAAGTCCATTCGATGATGATTCCATTCGAGTCCAGTCAATGATTCCATTTGATTCCATTCGATGATGATTCCATTTGAGTCCATTCAAGGATTCCATTTGATTTCATTCGATGATGATTCCATTTAATTCCATTGAATGATTCCATTCTATTCCATTTGATGGTGATTGCATTCGAGTCCATTCAATGATTCCATTCGGGTCCATTTAATGATTCCATTGAGTTCAACACGATGATGATTACATTGGATTCCATTCTATGATTCCATTCGATTCTTTTCGTTGATGATTCCGTTCGATTCCATTCAATGATTATTCCATTCGATTTCATTCGATGATTATATTTGATTCCATTTGATGAAAATTCAATTCTGTTACATTGGATGATTCCATTCGATTCCATTCGATGATGATTCCATTCGATTCCATTCGATGATGATTCCATTCAATTACATTAGATGATGAATCCATTCGATTCCATTCAATGATGATTCCATTCTATTCCATTCGATGATGATTCCATTCAATTTCATTCGATGATTCCATTTGATCCCATTCGATGATGATTCCATTCTATTCCATTGGATAATTCCATTCTATTCCATTCGATGATGATCCCATTCGATTCCATTCGATGATGATTCCATTTGATTCCATTCAATGATGATTCTATTCGATTCCATTTGAGGATGATTCCATTCACTTGCATTCAATGATTTCAATTGAGTCGATTCAAAAATTCAATTTGATTCCATTCGATCATGACTCCATTCGAGTCCGTTCGATGATTCCATTCTATTCCATTCCATGATGATTCCATTCGATGCCAATCGATGATTCCATTCGATTCCATTTGTTGATGATTCCATTCGAGTCCATTCTCAGATTCCATTAGATTCCATTTGATGATGATTCCATTCGAGTCCATTCGATGATTCCATTCGATTCCATTCGATGATGATTCCATTTGAGTCCATTCGATGATTCCATACAATTCCATTCGATGATGATTCCACTCGAGTCCATTAGATGATTCCATTCGAGTCCATTTGATTATTCCCTTAGATACCATTCACTGGTGATTCTATTCAATGCCATTCGATGATTCCATATGGTTCCATTTGGTGATATTTCCATTTTAGTCCATTCGATGATTCCATTGGATTCCATTCAATGATGATTCCATTCGTATCCTTTCAATGATTCCATTTGATTCCATTCAATGATGATTCCACTCGAGTCCATTTGATGATTCCATTTGATTCCATTTGATGATTCCTTTCGATCCCATTTGATGATTCCCTTTGATTCCATTTGATGATCACTCCATTCAATTCAGTGATCCCATTGGATTCCATTCGATGATTATTCCATTAGATTCCACTCCATGATGGTTCCATTCGGTTCCATGTGATGATGATTCCATTAGATTCCATTAGATGATTCCATGCGATTCCATTTGTTGATGATTCCATTCGATTCCATTTGATGATGATTCCATTTGTTTTCATTCTATGATTCTATTTTATTCCATTCGATGATGATTCCATTCTATTCCATTCAATGATTCCATTCGATTCCATTCTATGATGATTGTATTTGACTCCATTTGATGATGATTCCATTTGATTCCATTCGATGATGATTCCATTCATGTCCATTCGATTCCATTCTATGATGATTGTATTTGACTCCATTTGATGATGATTCCATTTGATTCCATTCGATGATGATTCCATTCATGTCCATTCGATGATTCCACTCAATTCTATTCGATGATGACTCCAAACAAGTCCGTTACATTATTCCATTTGATTCCATTGGATGATGATTCCTTTCGATGCCATTTGATGATTCCCTTCTATTTCATTTGATGACGATTCCATTCGGTTCCATTCGATGATTCCACTCAATGATGATACCATTCAATGCCATTCAATGATTCCATTCAATTCCGTTCGATGATTCCATTCAATTCCATTCAATGATGATTCCATTCGAATCCATTCAATGCTTGCATTCGATTCCATTCGATGATGATTGCATTCGAGTCCATTTGACGATTCCATTTGATTTCATTCAAAGATGATTCCATTCGATTCCATTCAATGGTGTTTCCATTCGAGTCCATTCGATGATTCCATTCGTTTCCATTTGATGATGATTCCATTCGATGTCATTCAATGATTCTATTTGATTGCCTTCAATGATGATTCCTTTTGAGTCCATTCAATGATTCCATTCAAGTCCATTCGATGATTCCTTTCAATTCCATTTGATGATGATTCCATTTGAGTCCATTCAATGATTCCATTCGATTCCATTTGATGATGATTCCATTCGAGTCCATTCGATGATTCCATTCGCGTCCATTTCATGATTTTTTGGGTTCAATTCGATGATGATTACATTGGATTCCATTCTATGATTCCATTCGATTCCATTAATTGATGATTCCATTCGACTCCACTCGATGATGATTCCATTCGATTTCAATGATTCTATTCGATTCCATTCGATGATTCCATTCTATTCAATTCGATGACTCCTTTAGATTCCACTTGATGATGATTACATTCGATTTCATTCAATGATTCTATTTGATTCCATTCGATGATGATCCCATTTTATTCAATTCTATGATTCCATTCGATTCCATTCGGTGATGATTCCATTCAAATCCATTTGATGATTCCATTCAATTCCATTCGATGATGATACTATTTGAGTCCATTCGATGATGACTGCATTCGATTCCATACGATGATTCCATCTTATTCCACTCGATGAAGATTCCAATCGATTACATTAGATGATTCCATTCAATTCCATCTGATTATTCCATTTCATTCCATTCCATAATGATTCCATTTGAGTCCAATCCATGATTCCATTCAAGTCCATTCAATCATTCCATTTGAGTCCATTCGATGATGATTCCATTCGAGTCCATTCGATGATGATTCCATTCAAGTTCATTTGGTGATTCCATTCGAGTCCATCCGATAATTCCATTTCAGTCCATTCGATGATGGCTTTTGATTCCATTCGACGATATTCCTTTTGAGTCCATTCCATGATTCCATTTGATTCTATTCGATGATGATTCCTTTCATCTCCATTCGGTGATTCCATTCGATTTTATTCAATGATGATTCCTTTCGAGTCCATTAGATGATTCCTTTCAAGTCAATTAGATGATTCCTTTCAATTCCATTTAATGATGATTGCATTCGAGTCCATAAAGTGATTACATTCGATTCCATTCAATGATGATTCCATTCAATTCCATTCGATGATCCTATTTGATTCCATTCAGTGATTCCATTTGATTCCATTCGATGATGATTCCATTCCATTCCATTCGATGATTCCATTTGATTCCGTTCAATGATGATTTCATTCGAGTCCATTTGATGATTCCATTTGATTCTATTTGATGATTTATCCATTCGAGTCCATTCGATGATTCTATTCGAATCCATTTGATGATTACTTTTGATTATATTCGGTGATGGTTCCATTCGAGTCCATTCAATGATTCCATTTGATTCCATTCGATGATGATTCCATTCGAGTCCATTTGATGATTCCATTTGACTCCATTCTCCAATGATTACATTCGAGTCCATTTGATGATTCCACTCGATTCCATACGATGATGATTCCGTTCAATTCCATTCGATGATTCCATTCTATTCCATTCAATGATGATTCCATTCGAGTACATTAGAAGATTCCTTTCGATTATATTCGATGATGATTCTATTCGTGCCCATTACATGAGTCCACACAATTCCACTCGATAATGATACTATTCGAGTCCATTCAATGACTCTCTTCAATTCCATTCGATGATGATTCCTTTCAATTCAATTCATTGGTGATTCTATTCAATTCCATTCTTTGATTGCATTCCATTCCATTCGACAATGATTCCATTTGATTTCTTTCGATGATTCCACTCAATTCCACTTGACATTGATTCCATTTGATTCCATTCAATGATTCCATTTGATTCCAGTTGATGATGATTGCCTTTGATTCCATTCGATCATTCCATTCGATTCCGTTTGATGATGATTCCGTTTGATTCTATTTGATGATTCCATCTGATTCTATTCGAGGATTCCATTCGATTCCATTCAATGATGATTCCATTCGAGTCCATTCGATGATTTCATTCGAGTCCATCCAATGATTCCATTTGAGTCCATTTGATGATTCCATTCGATTCCATTTGATTATGATTCCACTAGAGCCCATTTGATGATTCCATTCGAGTCCATTCAATAATTCCATTCGAGTCAATTCGATTATTCCATTCGAGTCCATTCGATGATTTCATTCGAGTTCCTTCGTTGATTCCATCCGATTTCATTTGATGATGACTGCATTCGAGTCCATTCAATGATTCCATTCGATTCCATTAGATGATTCCATTGGAGTCCATTCGATTATTCCTTTTGATTCCATTCAATGATTCCATTCAATTCCTTTCTATGATAATTCCGTTTGTGTCCATTCCATGATGATTCCATTCGATTCCATTCAATGATTCCGTTCGATTCCATTCGATGATTCCCTTCGATTCCGTTCCATGATGATTCCATTCCATTCCATTTGATGATTCCATTCTAATCTATTCCATGATGATTCCTTTTGATTCCATTCTCTAATGATTCCATTTGGTTCCATTCGATGATGATTCCATTTGATTCCATTCGATGACGATTCCATTTGATTCCATTCAATGATGATTCCATTCTATTCCATTCAATTATTCCATTAAATTTCATTTGATGATTACTCCATTCGAGTAAATTCAATGATTCCATTCAATACCATTCGATGATTATTCCTTTCGAGTCCATTCAGTGATTTCATTCAAGTCCATTTGATGATTCCTTTCAATTCCATTCGATGATGATTTCATTCGAGTCCATTCGATGATTCAATTCGCTTCCATTCGATGATGATTCATTTGAGTCCATTCGATGATTCCATTTGATTACATTCAATGATTCCATTCGATTCCATTCAATGATGATTCCGTTCGAGTCCATTTAATGATTCCATTGGTTTCAATTCGAAGATGATTAAATTGGATTCCATTCTATGATTCCATTCGTTGATGATTCCATTCGATTCCATTTGATGATGATTCAATTATATTCCATTCGATGATTCCATTCGATTCCATTCTATGATGATTCCATTTGAGTTCATTCGAAGATTCCATTTGATTACATTCTATGATGATTCCATTTGTGTCCATTCGAAGATTCCATTTGATTACATTCTATGATGATTCCATTCGAGTCCATTTGATGATTCCATTTGACTCCATTCAACGATGATTCCATTCGATGCTATTCAATGATTCCATTCGATTCCATTCTATGATGATTCCATTCGAGTCCATTCGATGATTCCATTCAACTCAATTCAGTGATGATTCAATTCGATGACATTCGATGACTCCATTCAATTTCATTTGATGATGATTCCATCCGATTCCCTTCGATGATGATTACATTCGAGTCCGTTTGATGATTCCATTCTTTTCCATTCGATGATGGTCCATTCATGTCTATTCGAAGATTCCATTCAATTCCATTCAATGATGATTCCATTTGATTCTGTTCGATGATTATTCCGTTAGATTCCATTAGATGATTGCATTCAATTCCATTTGATTCCATTCAATGATGATTCCATTAGACTCCATTCGATGATTCCATCGAGTCCAATGATTCCATTCGAGTCCATTTGATGATTCCATTCTTTTCCATTCGTTGATGATTCCATTAGAGTCCATTCGATGATTCCATTTGAGTCCATTCGATAATTTCTTTCGAGTCCATTTGATGATTCCATTCGAGTCCATTCGATGATTCCATTCGAGTCCATTTGATGATTCCATTCTTTTCCATTTGATGATTCCATTAGGGTCCATTCGATAATTCCTTTCGAGTCCTTTTGATCACTCCATTCGAGTCCATTCGATGATTCTATTTGATTCCATTCGATGATTCCATTCGATTCTATTTGATGATTGCATTCGAGTCCATTCGATGATTCCATATGATTCCATTCGACAATGATTCCATTAGTGTCCATTTGATGATTCCATTCATTTCCATTCAATGATGATCCCATTCGAGTGTATTCGATGATTCCATTCAAATCCATTCGATGATGATTCCATTTGAGTCCATTCGATCATTCCACTTAATTCCATTTGATGACTATTCCATTTGAATCCATTCGATGATTCCATTCGTTTCCATTCGATGATACAATTCGAGTATATTCGATGATTCCACTCGATTCCATTTGATGATTATTCCATTGGAGTCCACTTAGTGAATCCTTTAGATTCCACTCGAAGATGATTCCAGTCAATTCCATTCAATGATACCATTAGATTCCATTCGTTGATTATTCCATTTGAGTGCATTCAATGATATCCTTCAATTCCATTTGATGATGATTCCATTCGATTCCATTTGATGATTCTATTCGATTCCATTCAATGATGATTCCACTCGAGTCAATTCGATGATTCCATTGGACTCCATTTGATGATGACTCCATTCAATGATTCCATTTGATTCTATTCAATAATGATTCCATTTGATTCCATTCGATGTTGATTCCATTGGATTACACACGATGATTCCATTTGATTCCATTCAATGATGATTCCATTCGATTCCATTTGATGATTGCATTCTATTCTATTCAATGATAATTCCATTCGATACCATTCGATGATGATTGCATTCGATTCCATTCGATGATTTCATTTGATTCCATTCAATTCCATTCGATGATGATTCCATTCGATTCCATTCGATGATTCCATTCTGTTCTATTCGATGATAATTCCATTCGATTCCATTCGATGATGATTGCATTTGATTCCATTCGATGATTTCATTTGATTCCATTTGATGATGATTCTGATCAATTCCATTTGATGATTCCATTCGATTTCATTCAAAGATGATTCCATTCGATTCCATCTGATAATTCCATTCCATTCCATTTGATGATTCCAATGTATTCCATTTGATGATGATTCCATTCGAGTCCATTCGATGATTCCATTCAATTCCATTTGATAATGATTCCATTCGAGTGCATTCATTGATTCCATTTGATTCCATTCAATGATGATTCCATTCGAGTCTTTCTGATGACTCTATTCTATTCCATTCTATAACTATTCTGTTCGAGTCCATTTTATGATTCAATTCGAGTCCTTTCGATGATTCCATACTATTCCATTTGATGATGCTTCCATTCGAGTCTATTCGATGCTTCCATCTGATTCCATTTGATGATTCCATTCGAGTCCAATTGATGATTCCATTCAATTCCATTCGATGATGATTCCGTACGATTCCATTGGGTGATGATTCCATGTGATTGCATTCAGTGATGATTCCTTTTGATTCCATTCTATTATGATTCATTTCGTGTTCATTCGATGGTTCCACAGGTTTCCATTTGATGATGATTCCATTCGAGTCCATTCCATGATTCCATTCTATTCCATTCTATGATGATTCCATTTGATTCCATTCATTGGTGATTCCATTAATTTCCATTCAATGATTCCATTCCATTCCTTTTGACAATGATTCCATTAGATTCCATTCAATGATCCACTTGATTCCATTTGATGATGATTCCATTCGTGTCCATTCGATGATTCCATATGTTTCCATATGATGATGATTCCATTCAAGTCCATTCAATGGTGATTCCAATCAATTCCATTTGATGATTCCATTCGATTCTATTCGATGATGATTGCTTTTGATTCCTTTCGATGATTCCCTTCAATTCCATTCAAAGTTGATTCCATTCGATTCCATTCGATAATTCCATTTGATTCCATTCCATGATGATTCCATTCGAGTCCATTCGATGATTCCATTCAATTCCAGTCAATGATGATTCCATTCAATTCCATTCGATGATTCCATTGGCTTCCATTCGATGATGATTCCTTTCGAATACTTTCAATGATTCCATTCGAGTCCATTCGATGATGATTCCATTTGAGTTCATTCTATGATTCCATTCTGTTCCATTCAATGATAATTCCATTCGAGTCCATTCGATGATTCCATTCTATCCCATTAGATGATTATTCCACTCAAGTCCATTCAGTGATTGCATTCGAGTCCATTCGATGATTTCATTCGATTCCATTCGATGATGATTCAATTCGATTCCATTCGATGAGCCATTCGATTCAATTTCATGATGATTCCCTTTGATTCAATTCGATGATGTTTCCATTCGAGATCATTCGATGATCACTCCATTCGAATGCATTCGATGAAGATACCATTCGAGTCCATTCAATGATGATTCCATTCAAGTCCATTTGTTGATGATTCCATTCGATTTCACTCGATGTTTCTGTTTGATTCCATTCAATGATGATTCCATCTGATTCTGTTCAATGATTCCATTCCATTCCATTCAGTGATGATTCCATTCGATTCCATCTGATGATGATTTCATCTGATTTCATTCGATGATGATTCCATTTGATTGCATTCGATGATGATTCCAATCGAGTCCATTTGAAAATTCCATTCGATTCCATTCAATGATGATTCCATTCGTCTCCATTCAATGATTACCTTCCATTCCATTTGATGATTATTCCATTCTATGCCATTTGATGATTCCATTCGATTCCATTCGTTGATGATTCCATGCGATAACATTTGATGATGATTCCATTCGATTCCAGTCGATGATGATTCCATTCGATTGCAGTCGATGATGATTCCATTCGAATCCATATGATGATTCCATTCGATTCCGTTCGATTATTCCATTCAATCCCATTCTATGAGTCCTTTCATTCCCATTCGATGATTCCTTTTGATTCCATTCGATGATCATTCCATTCAAATCGGTGATACCATTCGATTCCATTGGATGATGATTCTATTCGATTCCATTCGGTTCCTTGTGATGATGATTCCATTAGTTTCCATTCAATGATTCCATGTGATTCCATTTGTTGATGATTCCATTTGATTCCATTTGATGATGATTCCATTAGATTCCATTTGATGATGATTCCATTCGATTCCATTCGATGATTCTGTTTGATTCCATTCAATGATGATTCCCTTCTATTCCATTCGATGATTCCGTTCGATTCCATTCTGTGATGATTCTATTCGATTCCTTTTGATGTTGATTCCATTTGATTCCATTCAATGATGATTCCACTGGTGTCCATTCTATGATTCCACTTGATTCCATTCGATGATGATTTCATATGAGTCCGTTAGATGATTCCATTTGATTCCATTTGATAATGATTCCATTTGATGCCATTCGATGGTTCCATTCGATTTCATTTGATGACTATTCCATTTGACACCATTCGATGATTCCATTTGATGAGGATTCCATTAGAAGCAATTCGATGATTCCATAACATTCCATTTGATGATGATTCCATTCGTTTCCATTCGATGATTCCATTCTAGTCCTTTTGATGATTCCACTTGAGTCCATTTGATGACACCATTCGTGTCCATTCGATGATGATTCCATTCGTGTCCATTCAATGATGATTCCATTCGATTCCCTTCTTTCATTTTTCCATTAGATTCCATTCAAGGATGATTTCATTTGACTCTATTCGATGATGATTCCATTCGATTTCATTTGATGTTTCCATTCGATTCCATTCAATGATGATTCCATTCAATTCCATTTGATGATTCCTTTTGATTCCACTCGATGATGATTCCATTCGATTCCATTCGATGATTCCATTTGATTCCATCTGATGATGAGCCATTCGATTCAATTCCATGATGATTCCATTTGATTCAATTCAATGATGTTTCCATTCGGTTCCATTCGATGATGATTCCATTAGATTCCATTCGATGATGATTCCATTCGAGTCCATTCGATGATGATTCCATTTGAATCTGTTTGATGATGATTCAATTCGATTTCATTCAATGCTTCTATTCGATTCCATTCAATGATGATTCCATCAGATTCCATTCGATGGTTCCATTTGATTCCATTCAGTGATGGTTCCATTCGATTCCATTCAATGATGATACCATTTTAGTCCATTGGATGATTCCACTCGTTTCCATTTGATGATGATTCCATTTGATTCCATTCGTTGATGATTCCAGTCAAGTCCGTTTAATGATTCCATTCATTTCCGTTTGATAATGATTCCTTTGGATTCCATTTGATGATTCCATTTGATTCAATCCGTTGATTATTCCATTAGGTTCCATTCATGATGATTCCATTCGACTGCATTCGATGATGATTCCAGTCGATTT
The DNA here is from genome assembly GCF_000001405.40 of Homo sapiens. Lineage (NCBI taxonomy): Eukaryota > Metazoa > Chordata > Mammalia > Primates > Hominidae > Homo > Homo sapiens. The sequence continues at coordinate 290,488 of NW_021160024.1, forward strand.
CATTCGATGCTTCTATTTGATTTCATTCGATTATGATTCTATCTGATTCCATTCAATGATCCCATTTGATTCCATTCAGTGTTGATTCCATTCAATTCCATTTGATGATGATTTCATTTGATTCCATTCAATAATGATTTCATTCAACTCCATTCAATGATTCCATTCGAGTCCATTCGATGATTCCATTCGAGTCCATTTGATGATTCCATTGGACTCCCTTTGATGATGAATCCATTCAATGATTCCATTCGATTCTATTCTATGGTGATTCCATTCGATTTTGTTCGATGCTGATTCTTTCAATTCCATTCGGTGATTCCATTCGATGATTCCATTCGATTACATTCGACGATGATTCCATTCAAATCCTTTTGATGATTCCATTCGATTCTATTTGATGATGATTCCATTCGATTCCATTTGATGATGACTGCATTAGTTTCTGTTCGATGATTCCATTTGATTCCATTCGATGATGATTCTGACCGATTCCATTTGATGATTCTGTTTGATTCCTTTTGATGATTCCATTTAATTCCATTTGATAATGAATCCATTCAAGTCCATTCGATATTTCTAGTTGAGCCCATTAAATAATTCCATTTGGGTCCAATCAATAATTCCATTCGAGTCCATTCGATCATTCCATTTGAGTCCATTAGATGATGATTCCATTCGAGTCCATTCGATGATGATTCCATTTGAGTTCATTCAATGATTCTATTCTATTCCATTTGATGTTGATTCCCTTCCACTCCATTCGATGATGATTCCATTCGATACCATTTGATGATTCAGTTTGATTCCATTCGATGACTCACTTCGATTCCTTTTGATGATGATTCCATTCGATGATTCCTTTCAATTTTATTCAATGATGATTCCATTTGATTCCGTTTGATGATGCTTCCTTTTGATTCCATTTGATGATGATTGCATTCGTTTCCTTTTGATGATGATTCCTTTTGATTCAATTTGATGATGATTCCATTCAATTCAATTGAGGACGATTGCATTTGAGTCCATTCAATGATTTGATTCGAGTCCATTCAACGATGATTCTATTTGATTCAATTCGATGATGATTCCATTGGAGTCCATTCGATGATTCCATTCTATTCCATTCAATGATTCCATTCGTTTCCATTCGATGATTCCATTTCATTCCATTCGATGATTCCATTTCATTCCATTCGATAATGATTCCATTCGATTCCATTTGATGCTGATTCCATATGATGCCATTCGATGATGATTCTATTCGAATCCATTTGTTGATGACACCGTTAGTTTCCATTAGAGGATGATTCCATTCAGTTCCATTCAATGATGATTCCGTTAGATTCCATTCAATAATTCCATTCCATTCCATTCATTGATGATTCCATTCGAATCCATTTGATGATGATTCTTTTTGATTCCATTCGATGATGATTCCATTTGAGTCCATTCGATGTTGATTCCATTGGATTCCATTTGATGATGATTCCATTCGATTTCATTTGATGATTCTATTCGTTTCCATTTGATAATGTTTCCATTCGATTCCATTCCATGGTAATTCCTTTCGAGTCCATTTGATAATTCCATTCGATTCTATTCAATGATGATTCCATTCTAGTCCATTAGATCATTCCATCCGATTCCATTCGATGATCATTCCATTCGAGTCCATTCGATGATTCCATTCAGTTCCATTTGATGATGCCATTAGATTACAGTTGATGATTCCCGTTGATTCCATTCAATGATTATTCCATTCGATTCCATTCGATGATTCCAGTCGATTCCATTCAATGGTGATTCCATTGGATTACATTCGATTATGATTCCATTCAATTCCATTCGATCATGATTTCATTCAATTCCATATGACGATGACTCCATTAGATTCCATATGATGATTCCATTGTGTTCCATTCGATGATGATTCCATTGGATTCCATTTGGTGATGATTCCATTCGATTCCATTTGATGATGATTCAATTGGATTTCATTCTGTAAGTCTATTTGATTCCATTCACTGAGATGCCTTTCTATTGCATTCGATGATTCCATTCGATACCATTCAATGATGATTCCATTCGATTCCATTCGATGATGTTTCCATTCCATTCCATTGAATGATGATTCCATTCGAGTCCATTTCATGATTCCATTTGATTCAATTCGATGATGATTCCATTAGGGTCCATTCAATGAATTCATTCAATTCCATTCGATGATGATTCCATCCGATGCCATTCGATGATTACATTCGATTTTATTCGATGATGATTCTGTTCAATTGCATTCAATGATTCCATTCGATTCCACTCGATTATGATTCCTTTCAAGTCATTCGATGTTTCCATTAGATTCCATTCGAAAATGATTCCATTCGAGTCCATTCAATGATTCCATTCGAATCCATTCGATGATGATTCCATTCAATTCCATTTGATGATTCCATTTGATTCCATTCAATGATGATACCATTTGAGACCATTCGATGATTCCACATGATCCCATACGATCATTCCATTTGAATCCACACAATGATTCCATTCAAGTTCATTCAGTGATTCCATTCGATTCCATCCAATGTTGATTCCATTCGATTCCATTCGATGGAATCATCCGTTTGATTCGATCCGATGATGATTCCATTCAAGTCCATATGATGATTCCATTTGATTCCATTCGATGATTCCATTCGATTCCATTTGATGATGATTCCATTCAATTCCATTGGATGATTCTATTTGATTCCATTCGATGATGATTCCATTAGATTCCACTCGATGATGATTCCTTTTGATTTCATTTGACGACTCCACTCTATTCCATTTAATGATGATTCCATTCAATTCCATTCGATGATTCCATTTGATGACGTTTCTATGAGAGTCCATTTGGTGATTCCATTCCTTTCCATTTGATTATGATTCCATTTGTATCCATTCGATGATTTCATTCAATTCCATTCAATGATACCATTCGAATCCATTTGATGATTCCCTTAGATTCCATTTGATGATCATTCCATTCGATTCCATTCGATGATTCCATTCGATTCCATTCGATGATGATTCCATTTGATTCCATTTGATGATGATTCCATTGGATTCCATTCATTGATGATTCCATTCGATTCCATTCGATGATGACTCCTTTAGGTTCCATTTGATGATTATTCCATTCAGTTCAATTCGCTGATGATTCCAATAGATTCCATTCGATGATTCCATTCGATTCCGTTCATGGATTGTTCCATTCGATTCCAATCAATGATGATTCCATTCGATTCCATTCAATGATGATTCAATTCAATTTCATTGGATAATGCTCTTCAATTCCATTCGATGATGATTCCATTCTATTCCATTCAATGACGATTTCATTTGATTCCATTTTATGATGATTCCATCCTATGTTATTCAATGATTCCATTCTATTTCATTTGATTGTGTTTCCATTCGATTCCATTCGATGATGATTCCATTCAATTCAGTTCGATGAAGATTCCTTTCGAGTAAATTCGATGATTCCATTAGACTTCATTTGATGATTCCACTCGAATCCATTCGATGATTCTAATCGATTCTATTCAATGATGATTCCATTCGAGTCCATTCTACAATTCCATTCGATTCAACTCGATGATGATTTCATTCGATCCAACTCGATGATGATTCCATTCGAGTCCATTAAATGATTCCATTCGATTCCATTCGATGATGATTCCATTTGGGTCCATTCGATGATTCCATTTGATTCCATTGGATGATCATTCCATTCGATGCCATTCCATGATTCCATTCGATTTCATTTGATGATGATTCCATTCCATTCCATTCATTGATGATTCCATTCAATTCCATTCTATGATGATTCCCTTCAATTCCATTCGATGATGATTCCATTCGATTCCATTCGATGATTGCATTCGATTCCGTTCAATGACGATTCCTTTCGTGTCCATTTGAGGATTCCATTCGATTCCATTTGATGATGATTCCATTCGAGTCCATTCAATGATTAAATTTGATTCCATTTGATGATGATTCCATTCGAGTCCATTCGATGATTCCATTCGATTCCATTTAATGATGATTCCATTCGAGTTCACTCGATGATTCCATTCAACTCTATTCGATGATGATTCCATTCGATTCCATTCGAAAATTCCGTATGATTTCAATTGAGGGTGATTCAATTGGAGTTCATTCGATGATTCCATTTGATTCCATTCGATGATGATTCCATTCAAGTCCATTCAATGATTCCATTCGATTTCATTTGATGATTCTCTTCGATACCATTTGATGATGATTCCATTCTATTCCATTCGATGATTCCATTCGATTCCATTCAATGATGATTCCATTCGATTCCATTCAATGATGATTCCCTTCATTCCATTCGATGATGATTCCATTCAATTCCATTTGATGATGATTCCATTCGAGTCCATTCAATGATTCCTTTCACTTCCATTCGATGTTGATTCCATTTGATGATTCCATTTGATTCCATTCGGTGAAGATTCCATTCATGTCCTTTCGATGATTCCATACGATTCCATTCGATCATACCGTTTCATTCCATTCAATGATTCCCTTCGATTCCATTCAATGATCATTCCATTCGATTCCGTTCGATGATTCCATTCGATTGCATTCGATGCTGATTTCATTCACAACCATTCGATGATGATTCCATTCGAATCCTTTTGATGATGATTCCATTCATTTCCATTTGATGATGACTCCTTTTGGTTCCATTTGATGATGATTCCATTTGGTTCCATACTATGATGATTCCATTAGATTCCATTCAATGATTCCATTCGATTCAATTCGATGATGATTCCATTCATTCAATTCAATGATGTTTCCATTCGATTCCATTCAATGATGATTCCACTTGAGTCCATTCAATGATTCCATTTAATTCCATTCGATGATTATTCCATTTGTGTCCATTTGAAGATTCCATTCTCTTCCATTCGATGATGCGTCCATTCGATGCCATTCGATGATTTCATTTGATTTCATTCAATGATGATTGCATTCACATCCATTCTTTGATGATTCCATTTGATTCCATTCGATGATGATTCCATTCGAATCCATTCGATGATGATTCCATTCAAGTCCAATCGAGGATTCCATTTGAGTCTATTCGATGATTCCATTCATTTCCATCCCATTATGATTCAATTCGAGTCCATTTGATGATGATTCCATTCAATTCTATTTGATGATTCAAATCGATTCCATTCAGTGATTCACTTCGAATACTTTTGATGATGATTCCAATCGATTCCATTTGATGATTCCATTCAATTCCATTAGATGAGGATTCCATTCTATTCCACTCGATGATTCTATTTGCTTCCGTTCAATGATGATTCCATTTGATTACATTCAATGATTCAATTCGCTTCCATTTGATGCTGATTCCATTCGATTCCTTTCGATGATGATTCCTTTTGATTCTATATGATTTTCATTGCATTTGATTCCATTGATAATGATTGCATTCGAATCCATTTGATGATTCCATTGGTGTCCATTCGATGATTCCTTTCGAGTCCATTCCACAATGACTCCATTTGATTACATTCGATGATCATTAAATTCAACTCCGTTTGATGATTCCATTCCCTTCCATTCGACGAGGATTCCATTCGTTTCCAATCGATTATTGCATTCAATTCCATTCAATGAGGATTCCATTCCATTCCATTAGATGATTCCAATCGATTCAATTCGATGATGATTCCATTTGATTCCATTCGTTGATTCCATTCCATTCCATTGGGTAATGATTCCATTCGTGTCCATTCGATGATTCTGTTTGAAGCCATTTGATGGTTACTTTCGTTTCCATTCTATGATGATTCCATTCGATTCCATTCGATGATGATTCCATTTGATGCCATTCAATGATTCAATTCGCCTTCATTCGATGTTGACTCCTTTCGATTCCTTTCGATGATTCCTTTTGGTTCCATTCGATGATGATTCCATTCGTGTCCATTCGATGATTCCATTCAAATCCATTCGAACATACCGCTCGATTCCATTCGATGATTCCCATCGATTCCATTCGATGATCATTCCATTCGATACCATTCGATGATTCCATTTGATTGCATTCGATGTTGATTCCATTCACAACCATTCGATGATGATTCCATTCGATTCCATTCGATGCTGATTCCATTCCATTCCATTTGATGATGACTCCATTAGGTGCCATTTGATGATGATTCCATTCGGTTCCATACGATGATGATACCATTAGATTCCATTTGATGATTCCATTCCATTCCATTCGTTGATGATTCCATTCGATTCCATTCAATGATGATTCCATTCGATTCCATTCGATGATGACTCCATTTGGTTCCACTTGATGATGATTCCACTCACTTCCATACGATGAAGATTCCATTAGATTCCATTCCATGATTCCATTCAATTCCATTCGATGATGATTCCATTCGATTACATTTGATGATGGTTTCATTTGATTCCATTTGATGACGATTCCATTTGATTTCTTTCTTTAACTCTATTCGATTCCATTTGATGATGATTCCATTCGGTTCCATTCGATGATAATTCCTTTAGATTCCATTCGATGATTCCATTCAATTCCATTAGTTGATGATTCCATTCAATTCCATTTGGTGACGATTCCATTCTATTACATTCAATGATGGTTCAATTCAATTTCATTCTATAACTCTATTTGATTCCATTCGATGATGATTCCTTTCTATTCCATTAGATGATTCCATTCTATTCCATTCAATGATTATCCCATTTGATTCCATTCGATGATGACTCCAATCGATTCCATTCAATGATGATTCAGTTCGAGTCCATTCAATGATTCCATTCGATTCCATTCGATGATGATTTCATTCTAGTCCATTCAATGATTCCATTGGATTCCATTCAATGATGATTCCATCCAATGCCATTCGATGATTTCATTCGATTTCGTTTGATGATAATTCCATTCGATTCCACTCGATGATTCCATTGGATTCCATTCAATGATCATTCCTTTCAATTCCAATCGATGTTTCCATTCAATTCATTCAATGATGATTCCATTTGATTCCATTTGATGACTCCATTCAGGTCCGTTCAATTATTCCATTCGATCCCATCCCATGATGATTCCATTCGAGTCCATTCGGTGATGATTCCATTCGATTCAATTCGATGACTCAATTCGATTCCATTCAATGATTCACTTCGATTACTTTCAATGATGATCCCATTCCATTGCATTCGATGATTCCATTTGATTCCATTCGAAGATGATTCCTTTGGAATCCATTTGAGTTTGATTTCATTCAATTCCATTGATGATGTTTGCATTCTAGTCCATTCAATGATTCCATTCAAGTCCATTCAATGATTCCATTCAAGTCCATTCAATGATGATTCCATTCAATTCCATTTGATGAGGATTCCATTCCTGTCCATTAGATGATTTGATTCGTTTCCATTGGATGATGATTCCATTCGATTCCATTTGTTGATTCCATTCTATTCCATTGGATGGTGATTCCATTCGTGTCCATTCGATTATTCTGTTCAAATCCATTCGATGTTTGCTTTCAATTCCATTCGATGACGATTCCATTCTATTCCACTTGATTATGATTCCATTCGATACCATTCTATGATTCCATTCGTTTCCATTCGATGATGATTCCATTCCATTCCATTCGATGATACCATTCAATGAGGATTCCATTCAATTCCTTTCGATGATTCCATTCGATTTCATTCGATGATGTTTCTATTCGAGTCCATTCGATGACTCCATCCGATTCCATTCGATGATGATTCCATTCGATTCCATTTGAAGTTTCCATTCGATTCCATTCGATGATGATTCCATTCGAGTCCATTCTATGATTCAATTCGATTCCATTCAATGATTCCATTCGATTCCATTCGATGTTTCCCTTCGACTCCATAAGATGGTCATTCAATTCAATTCCATTTGATGATTCCATTCAATTCCAATCGTTGATGATTCCATTGGATTCCATTCGATGATGATTCCATTTGAGTCCATTCGATGATGATTCCATGCAATTCCATTCGATGGTGATTCAATTAGGTTTCACTTGATGATGATTCCTTTCGGTTCCATTGGATGATGATTCCATTAGTTTCCATTTGATGATTCCATTCGATTCAATTCGTCGAGGATTCCATTCGATTCCATTCGATGATGATTTCATTTGATTCCATTCGATGATGATTCCATTCGAAGATGATTCCATTTAATTCCCTTCGATGATAATTCCATTCAATTTCATTTGATGATTCTATTCGATTCCATTTGTTGATGATTCCATTTGATTCCCTTCGATGATGATTCCTTTCCTTTCCATTTGATGATTTTTCCATTCGATTCCATTGATGATGATTGCATGAGAGTCCATTCAATGATTCCATTCGTGTCCATTTGATAATTCAAGTCGAGTCCATTAAATGATGATTCCATTCGAATCTATTTGATGATGATTCCAATCGATTCCATTCGATGATGATTCCATGCATTTCCATTTGATGATGATTCCATTAGGTTTCATTTGATGATGATTCCATTCGGTTCCATTGGATGATGATTTCATTCCATTCTATTCGATGATTCCATTCGATTCCATTCTTTGATGATTCCATTCGATTCCATTCGATGATGATTTCATTTGATTACATTCAATGATGATTCCATTCGATGATGATTCCATTCGATTCCATTTGATGATAATTCCATTTGATTCCATTCGATCATTCTATTCCATTCCGTTTGTTGATTATTTCCTTCGATTCCATTGATAATGATTGCATAAGTTTCCATTCAATGATTCCATTCGTGTTCATTTAATGCTTCCATTCAAGTCCATTTGAGGATGATTCCATTCGATTCTATTCAATGATGATTCCATTCGAGTCCATTCGATGATTCCATTTGATTCCTTTTGATGAGGTTTTCATTCCAGTCCATTAGATGATTCCATTTGATTCATTTTGATTATGATTCCATTCGATTCCATATGTTGATTTGATCAGATTCCATTCAGTGATGATTCCATTCGTGTCCATTCAATGATTCTATTCAAATCCATTTGATGATTGCCTTTAATTCCATTCGATGGTGATTGCATTTGATTCCATTTGATGATGATTCCATTCAAAACCATTCTATGATTCCATTGATACCATTTGATGATGACTCCATTCCATTCCATTTGATGATTCTATTCGATTCCATTCGATGATGATTCCTTTTGATTTCATTCAATGATTCAATTCGATGCCATTCAATGATGATTCCATTCGATTTCATTAGATGATTCCATTCGATTACCTTCGATGATGATTCCATTCCATTCCATTCGATGATACTATTCGATAAGGATTCCATTCGATTCCTTTCGATGATCCCATTCAATTTCATTCGATGATGTTTCTATTTGATTATTCCATTCGATTCCATTCAATGATGATTCCATTCGTGTACATTCTATGTTGATTCCATTCGATGATGATTCCTTTCAATTCCATTTGACGATGACTCCATTAGGTTCCATTTGATGATGATTCCATTCTGTTCCATTTGATGATGATTCCATTTGATTCCATTCGATGATTCCATTTGATTCCATTCGTTGATGATTCCATTCGATACCATTCAATGATGATTCCATTAAATTCCATTCGATGATGATTCCATTCGATGATGATTCCATTCAATTCCATTCGAAGATGATTCCATTCGATTTGATTTGATGATCCTATTTGATTCCATTTGATGATTCTATTGGATTCCATTCGATGATGATTCCATTCGATTCTTTTGATGATGATTCCATTTGAGCCCATACAATGATTCCATTCAATTCCATTCGCTGATGATTACGTTCGAGTCTGTTCGACGATTCCATTCGATTCCATTTGATGATGATTCCATTCGATGTCATTCAATGATTCCATTCGTTTTCATTCGATGATGATTCCATTCGATTCCACTAGATGATTCCATTTGATTCCTTTCTATCATGATTCCATTCGAGTCCGTTAAATGATTCCGTTCGATTCCTTTCTATCATGATTCCATTCGAGTCTGTTCAATGATTCCATTCGATTCCATTCGATGATGATTCCATTCGGGGCCATTGGAGGATTCCATTCAATTCCATTCGATGATTCCATTCGAGTCCATTCGATGATTTCATTCGAGTCCATTCGAGGATGATTCCTTTTGATTCCATTCCATGATTATTCCATTCGATTCCATTCGATGAAGATTCCATTCGATTTTATTCAATGATTCTGTTCGATTCCATTCAATGATGCTTCTATTCAAATCCATTCAATGATTCCATTCGATTCCATTCGAAGATGATTCCATTCCAGTCCTTTAGATGATTCCATTAGATAATGATTCCATTTGATTCCTTTCAATGAATAAATTCGATTTCATTCAATGATGTTTCTATTCGAGTCCATTCAATGATTCCATTCGATTCCATTCTATGATAATTCCATTCGAGCCCAATGGAAGTGTCCATTAGATTTCATTCGATGATGATTCCATTCGAGTCCATTTGATGATTCCATTCGATTCCATTTGATGAGTCAATTCGATTCGTTTTGATGATTCCCTTCAATTCCATTCGATGATAATTCCATTCAATCCCATTCGATAATTCCATTTGATTCCATTCATTGACAATTCCATTGCACTGCATTCGATGATGATTCCATTTGATTTCATTTGATGATATTTGCATTCCATACCATTGTATGAATCCATTTGATTCCATTCGATGAGGATTCCATTGGAGTCCATTTGATGATTCCATTCGATTCCATTTGATGATTCAATTCAATTCCATTCGATGATTCCCTTCTATTCCATTCGATGATAATTCAATTTGAGTCTATTCAATGAATTCATTCGATTCCATTCGGTGTTGATTCCATTCGAGTCCATTCGAGGATGATTCCATTCGAGTTCATTCCATGATTCCATTCGATTCCATTCGTGATGATTCTATTCGATTCCGTTCGATGGTGATTCAATTCGATTCCATTCGATGGTTATTCCATTTGATTCCATTCGGTGATGATTCTATTCAATTCCGTTCGATGGTGATTCAATTCGATTCCATTCGATGCTTATTCCATTCGATTCCATTTGATGATTTCATTCAATTCCATTCGATGATTTCATTCGATTCCATTCGATAATTCCATTCGATTCCATTTGATGATTCCATTCGATGATTTCATTTGATGATTTCATTCGATTCCATTCGATGATGATTCCATTCGAGTCCATTCGCTTATTCCATTCTATTCCATTAGATGACGATTACATTCGAGTCCATTCTATGATTCCATTCTATTCCATTAGATGATGATTACATTCGAGTCCATTCTATGATTCCATTCAATTCCATTAGATGATTACTCCATTCAATTCCTTTTGATGATGATTCCTTTAGATCCCATTCCATGATGATTCCATTCGTTTCCATTTGATGATGATTCTATTAGTTTCCATTCAATGAGGATTCCATTCGATGATGTTTCTATTCAATTACTTTCGAGGATTTTTTTTCTTCCTTTCGATGTTCATTCCATTCAATTCCACTGGATGATTCCATTCCATTCCATTCGATGATTATTCCATTTGATTCCATTTGATGATCAGTTATTTTGATTCCATTAGATGATGATTCCATTCAATTGGATTTGATGATGATTCCGTTTGATTCCATTCAATGATGATTCCATTCGAGTCCATTCCATGATGATTCCATTCGAGTCCATTCCATGATGATTCCATTAGAGTCCATTTGATGATGATTCCATTCGAGTCCATTCAATGATTCCATTCTATTCCATTCAATGATGATTCCATTCGAGTCCATATGATGATTGCATTTGATTCCATTCGACGTTGATTCCATTCGAGTCAATTTGTTGATTCCATTTGATTCCATTCGATGATGATTCCATTTGATTCCATTCGATGATGATTCCATTCGACTCTTTTCAATGATTCCCTTCGATTCCATTGAATGATGATTCCATTCTAGTCCTTTCCATGATTCCATTCGATTCCATTAGATGATGATGCCATTCAATTCCATTCGGTGAAGATACCCTGCAATTCCATTTGATGATTATTCCATTCGATTCCATTTGATGATGATTCCATTCGATTCCATTTGATGATGATTCGATTCAATGACGATTCTGTTCAATTCCATTTGATGATGATTCCCTTCCATTCCATTAGATGACGATGCCATTCGATTCCATTTGATGATGATTCCATTCGATTCCATTCAATGATTATTCCATTCGAGGCCATTCGATGATTCCATTCAATTCCATTAGATGATTCCATTCAATTCCACTTGCTGATGATTCCATTCAATTCCATGTGATGATGATTCCATTCGATTCCATTCGATGATGATTCCATCTGAGTCCATTCGATGATGATTCCATTTGAGTTCATTCAATGATTGCATTCGATTCCATTTGATGATTATTCCATTCGATGCCATTAGATGGGGATTCCATTCTATTTCATTCAATGATCATTCCCTTTGATTCCACTTGATGATTCATTTCGATTCCACTCAATGATGACTCCATTTGAGTCCATTCGATGATTCCATTTGATTCCATTCAATGATGATTCCATTCGGGTACATTCCATGATTCCAATCGATTCCATTCAATGATGATTCCATTCAATTCCATTCGATGACTATTCCTTTTGCTTCCATTCGATGATGATTCCATTCAATTCCATTCGATGATGATTCCTTTCGATTCCATTCCATAATGTTTCCATTTGATTCCATTCGAAGATTTAATTCAAATCCTTTTGATGATGATTCCATTCAATTCCATGCGATGATTATTCCACTCGGGTCCATTCGATGATGATTCCGTTCCATTCCACTCAATGATGAATCCACTCGAGTCCATTCAATGATAAAATTCCATTCCATTCGATGATGATTACAGTCGGGTACATTCCATGATTCCAATCGATTCCATTCAATTATGATTACATTCGGGTACATTCCATGATTCCAATCGATTCCATTCGATTATGATTCCATTCAATTCAATTCGATGATGATTCCTTTTGATTCCATTCGGTGATGATTCCATTTGATTCCATTCAGTGATGATTCCTTTTGATTCCATTCGATGATGATTCAATTTTATTCCAATCGATGATGATTCCTTTCGATTACATTAGATGATGATTCCATTCGATTCCATTCGATGATGATTCCTTTTGATTACATTTGATGATGATTCCACTTGATTCCATTCGATGATTAAATTCGATTTCTTTTGATGATGATTCCATTCGATTCCATAAGATGATTATTCCATTCGATACGATTCGATGATGATTCCATTTGGTTCCATTCCATGGTGATTCCATTTGATACCATTCGATGATGATTCCTTTCAATTCGTTTCAATGATTCCATCCAATTCCATTCAATGATTCCATTCGATTCCATTCAATGATGATTCCATTCGAGTCTATTCGATGATTCCATTTGAATTCATTTGGTGATGATTCCCTTAGATTGCATTCAATGATTCCTTTCTATTCCATTCGATGATGATTCCATTCATGTACATTCGATGATTCCATTCGAGTCCATTTAATGATTACATTGGGTTCAATTCGATGACAATTACTTTGGATTCCATTCTATGTTTCCATTTGATTCCACTCATTGATGATTCCATTCGATTCCATTCGAAGATGATTCCATTCGATTTCATTCAATGGTTCTATTCGATTCCATTCAATGATGATTCAATTCTCTTCCATTCGATGATTCCATTCCATTCCATTCGATGATGATTCCATTCGATTGCATTCTATGGTGATTCCATTCGAGTCCATTCGAAGATTCCATTCGATTACGTTCCATGACGATTCCATTTGAGTCCATTCGATGATTCCATTCGACTCCATTCGACGATGATTCCATTCGATGCTATTTGATGATTCCTTTTGATTCCATTCGATGATGATTACAATCAACTCCATTTGATGATTCCATTCGAGGCCATTCAATGATGATTGCATTCGTGTCCATTCGATGATTCCATTCAATTCCATTCGATGATGATTCCATTCGAATCCATTTGATGATTCCACTCGATTCTGTTCGATGACTCCATTTGATCCCATTTGATGATTCCCTTCGATTCCATATCGTGATCCTTCCATTTGATTCAATTCAGTGATTCCATTTGATTCTATTCAATGATTGTTCCAATCGAATCCTATAGATGATGATTCCCTTTGATTTCATTTGATTATGATTATATTCGATTCCATTTGATGATGATTCCATTCGAGTCTGTTCAATGATTACATTTGATTCCATTCGATGATGATTCCACTCAAGTCCATTCATTGATTCCATTCGATTCCGTTCGATGATTTCATTAGATTCCATTCGAAGATAATTCCATTCGATGTCATTCGATGATTCCATTCGAATCCATTCAACGATGATTCCATTCATGTACATTTGATGATTCCATTCGATTCCATTTGATGGTCATTCCATTAGAGTCCATTCGATGATTCTGTTCAATTCCATTCAATGATGATTCCATTCTAATCCACTAGATGATTCCATTCGATTCCATTCGATGATGACTACAATCGGTTCCATTTGATGATGATTCCAACGGATTCCATTCTATTTCTTCATTTGATTCCATTCGTTAATGATTCCATTCGTTTCCATTAGATGATGATTCCATTAGATTCCATTCAATGATGATTCCGTTTGATTCCATTCAATGACTATTCCATTTAATTCCATTCAATGATGATTCCACTCGATTCCATTCGATGATTCCATTTGATTCCATTCGATGGTGATTGCATTCGGGTGCATTCTATGATTCCATTCGATTCCACTCGATGATATTTCAATTCGAGTCCATTCAATGATTCCTTTCGATTCCATTCGATGATGATTCCATTCGAGTCCATTCGATGATTGCATTCGAGTCCATTTGATGATTCCATTCGATTCCATGCGATGATGATTCCATCGAATACATTCAATTATTCCATTTGATTTCACTCGATGATGACTGCATTCGGTTCCATTCTATGATGATTCCAACGGACTCCATTTGATGACTCCATTCGATTCCATTCATTGATGATTCCATTCGATTCCATTCGATGATGTTTCCATTCGATTCCATTCGTTGATGATTCCATTCGATTCCATTCGATGATGTTTCCATTCGATTCCATTCGATGATGATTTCATTTGACTCCATTCCATGATTATTCCATTCGATTCCATTCAATGATGATTCCATTTGATTCCATTCGATGATTCCTTTTGATTCCATTTGAGTCCATTCGATGATTCCAGTCGATTCCATTCGATGATGATTCCATTCGATGATTCCATTCAATACCATTCGATGTCTCCTTTCGATTCCACTTGATGTTGATTTCATTGGAGTCCATTCAATGATTGCAGTCCATTCCATTCGATGATCATTCCATTCGATGATTCCATTCAATACCATTCAATGTTTCCTTTCGATTCCACTCGATGTTGATTTCATTGGAGTCCATTCCATGATTCCATTCGAGTGCATTCCATGATTTCATTCGATTCCATTCGATGATGATTTCATTCGAACCCATTCAATGATGATTCCATTTGATTCCATTCGATGATTCCATTGGATTCCATTCTCTGTTTTATTTCGATTCTTTTTGATGATGATTCCTTTCTCTTTCATTCAATGATCTCATCCGATTCTAATCCATGATAATTCCATTCTATTCCATTTGATGAAAATTCCATTCGATTCCATTTGATGATAATTGCATTCGATTCTATTTGACGCTGATTCTATTCGATTCCTTTCAATGATGATTCCATTCAATTCCATTCGATGATTCCATTTGATTCCATTCGATGATGATTCCATTCGAGACCTTTTGATGATTCCATTCAATTCCATTCAATAATGATTCCATTCGAGTCCATTTGATGACTCCATTCAAGTCCCTTTGATGATTCCATCTGATTCCATTCGATGATGATTCCATTAGGGTCCATTCGATGATACCATCCGATTCCATTCAGTGATGATTTCATTCGATTCCATTCAATGATTCCATTCGATTCCATTCGATGATGATTCCAATCAATTCCAATAGATGATTCCCTTCGAATCCATTTGATAATGAGTCTATTCATTTCAATTCCGTGATGATTCCATTCGATTCAATTCGATGGTGTTTCCATTTGATTCCATTCGATGTTGATTCCATTTGATTCCATTGGATGATGATTCCATTCGAGTCCATTCGATGATGGTTCCATTCGAGTCCATTCGATGTTGATTCCATCCGATTACATTCGATGATTCTATTCGATTCCAATTAATGATGATTCCATCTTATTCCATTCGATGAATCATTCGATTCCATTCGATGATGATTCCATTCGAAGAATCATTCGATTCCATTTGATGATGATTCCATTCGTTTAAATCCGATGATGATTCCATTCGATTCCATTTGATGATTATTCCATTTGAGTAAATTCAATGATTCCATTCGATATCATTTGATGATGATTCCACTCAAGTCCATTCGATGATTCCATTCGATTCCATTCGATGATTTCATTAGATTCCATTCGAAGATGATTCCATTCGATGTCATTTGATGATTCCATTCGAATCCATTCAACAATGATTCCATTCGTGTACATTCGATGATTCCATTCGATTCCATTTGATGGTCATTCCATTCGAGTCCATTCGATGATTCCATTCAATTCCATTCGATGATGATTCCATTCTAATCCATTAGATGATTCCATTCTATTCCATTCGAAGATGACTGCATTCGGTTCCATTTGATGATGATTCCAACGGATTCCATTCTATTTCTT